>NC_000012.12:46702552-46854067 GCF_000001405.40 Homo sapiens
AGTCCATCTCAAAGATACTATCAAAACAAAAGAAACTAACATTTGCTAAGCTCCTGTTACCTTTTGGGTTTTGTGCTGAGGAAACTCACATAAAATATTTTATTTAATTGTCAGTCTAACTCTTTGACATAGGATAATTTCCTCATTTTCCAAATAAGAAAAAGCTCTCAGATGAGTACCCTGCTCAGCTGTAAAGAGCAGTACTGGGCTGACTGCAGCTGTCCACAGTGGTGCCTTAAGCATTAAGGGTGTCCTCCCTTTAGCTTGGTCCTCCCACGTAGCACTTTGTGCAGCTCTCACGACACTTCTTTGTACCTTATAGGTATTTGTGGAATACTCCTATAATACGACTTCTGTAGCAGGAATTGTATCATGCTCCTTTCTTCCCTGGGGTGTCCAGCCTAGTCCTTTGTACCTAGGCTAATTAATAAGTATCTGTGTAACTGAATGAAACTGGATGGAGGATTAGGGAGGCAGGCATTGTGGAGGAGACAGGCTCAGTCTTGCCAGCTTCAACACTTCTTCCAAGTTCCTAAATAATGAGCTGTCAAGTTTCCTTGAGTTGCTAAGCCTTTTGGGAAGGAAAAAGTGAACTGAAACAAGCAGCTACGTGCCTCAATCCACCAGAATAGGAAGCTCCTGCTTTCAGACATGACGAGTCTCCAAAATATGTGGTGTTAACTCCAATCGCGCACATCTAGCACAACTTGTGACTGCACAGGCGTGTGCAAACGAGCTCAGGAGTAGAGACATTCTAACCCAAATGTGACAGAATACATTAAAACACCACAAAAGCAACTTAACTTGAATATTACATGGCTCCTACAAAAGAAAATAATTTGCCTGGTAACTTTCTTTTATCAAATGCCATGTTTTTACTTAAATGTGTCTATTAATTAGCCTCAGTTTGTTGTATGCCAGTTGTGTAAGTTATTAGCTGAGGAGTGCAAGGTACCATGTCTGTTCCACCATTGCTGGATCCTAAGTTCCTGAAAATGAACAAAACAGGACAAAACAAATATTTCCTTTTCTATTTCTGCTGCCTTCTTCTCTCTCATTCTGAAGCAGGGGGCTGAGAGTTATAAAGATAATCCAGCCATTAAGCAAAAATAGTTTTAAGTACCAGCCCTCTTTATCTTGCTCTGATTCCAAATGGCTGAAAAACAGGAGAGGCTTTAAAATCCATAAAGTTGATGATACAGTTGCCAATAAAGTACTGGAGAAAGAGAAGAAATAACTTAGCTTACATTTTATCCTCTATATAAAAATGGTTATAGGGCAGTCAAGGCAGCATGGCGTGGGAGAAATTGGATTTCAATTGATCAAAAGGCTGGATCATAAATTTGAAAGGGGAAATACTGGATGCAGGGAGACCAGGAGATGAGTTATGGCAGTAGTTTTATAAAAGATGATAAGGACACCCCAAATCAGTGTTAGAAGGAATTATCATTTGGGAGGTGCTGGGAAAGGGTTGGTAGTCAACTGGATGAGGATTGGTGAGGAATCAAGGGCCATTCCCTATCTGACTCTTGGGTGAACAGTATCACCACCAATCGACTCCAGGGTAGCAGGAGGTGGAACAGCTTAGAGTTGCTTGCTGCAGTTTCCTGGTAAAGTAGGGAGCAATGTCACTGGCTACTAATGAGAGGAGAGCAAGTATGTTAGGTTCTTGAGGATAGTGGAGGTCTACAATGGTAACTGAATACAGAGAAGTTACTGACCAAAGGAAACGAAAAGAGAGAAGGGCAGAACCGGAAAACACACACTGGTGGAGAAGTATGACTTTCTAGCAGTGTTCCATTGGCCAGCTGTAAGAAGAGAGAGAGCAGAGTGTGACAGCAATAAATACAGAATAAGCTTCATTAAAGGAGATCTGTCAGATGACCTTGATGTTTACTTGGTCTAACATACTCTTGATTGCCAAAGTCTTTACTGAGATAGTCAGATAATAACTACTCAGGCCAGATACTGACCCACACTATTTGTGTTTTCAACTAATCAGTGTATAAACTAATACATTTAGAGTAATCAACGTGAGAAGGATTTGAGGGAGCTAGGACTGGAAGCAAGGAGACTAGCCAGGGGCAGTCCATGCAAAAGATAAAGTTCTGATCCAATGCAATATTAGTTGGGACATAACTCAGGATTTTATGAAGCCAACAAGAATGTTTTTTGTTTTGTTTTGTTTTGTTTGTCTGTTTTAATGTATGACTGAGTCCCCAAAAGAAAAGTGAAGACATAGCATTTTTTTTATTATACTTTAAGTTTTAGGGTACATGTGCACATTGTGCAGGTTAGTTACATATGTATACATGTGCCATGTTGGTGCGCTGCACCCACTAACTCGTCATCTAGCATTAGGTATATATCCCAATGCTATCCCTCCCCCCTCCCCCCACCCCACAACAGTCCCCAGAGTGAGATATTCCCCTTCATGTGTCCATGTGATCTCATTGTTCAATTCCCACCTATGAGTGAGAATATGCGGTGTTTGGTTTTTTGTTCTTGTGATAGTTTACTGAGAATGATGATTTCCAATTTCATCCATGTCCCTACAAAGGACATGAACTCATCATTTTTTATGGCTGCATAGTATTCCATTGTGTATATGTGCCACATTTTCTTAATCCAGTCTATCATTGTTGGACATTTGGGTTGGTTCCAAGTCTTTGCTATTGTGAATAATGCCGCAATAAACATACGTGTGCATGTGTCTTTATAGCAGCATGATTTATAGTCCTTTGGGTATATACCCAGTAATGGGATGGCTGGGTCAAATGGTATTTCTAGTTCTAGGTCCCTGAGGAATCACCACACTGACTTCCACAATGGTTGAACTAGTTTACAGTCCCACCAACAGTGTAAAAGTGTTCCTATTTCTCCACATCCTCTCCAGCACCTGTTGTTTCCTGCCTTTTTAATGATTGCCATTCTAACTGGTGTGAGATGGTATCTCACTGTGGTTTTGATTTGCATTTCTCTGATGGCCAGTGATGTTGAGCATTTGTTCATGTGTTTTTTGGCTGCATAAATGTCTTCTTTTGAGAAGTGTCTGTTCATGTCCTTCGCCCACTTTTTGATGGGGTTGTTTGTTTTTTCCTTGTAAATTTGTTTGAGTTCATTGTAGATTCTGGATATTAGCCCTTTGTCAGATGAGTAGGTTGCGAAAATTTTCTCCCATTTTGTAGGTTGCCTGTTCACTCTGATGGTAGTTTCTTTTGCTGTGCAGAAGCTCTTTAGTTTAATTAGATCCCATTTGTCAATTTTGTCTTTTGTTGCCATTGCTTTTGGTGTTTTGGACATGAAGTCCTTGCCCATGCCTATGTCCTGAATGGTAATGCCTAGGTTTTCTTCTAGGGTTTTATGGTTTTAGGTCTAACGTTTAAATCTTTAATCCATCTTGAATTGATTTTTGTATAAGGTGTAAGGAAGGGATCCAGTTTCAGCTTTCTATATATGGCTAGCCAGTTTTCCCAGCACCATTTATTAAATAGGGAATCCTTTCCCCATTGCTTGTTTTTCTCAGGTTTGTCAAAGATCAGATAGTTGTAGATATGCGGCGTTATTTCTGAGGGCTCTGTTCTGTTCCATTGATCTATATCTCTGTTTTGGTACCAGTACCATGCTGTTTTGGTTACTGTAGCCTTGTAGTATAGTTTGAAGTCAGGTAGTGTGATGCCTCCAGCTTTGTTCTTTTGGCTTAGGATTGACTTGGTGATGCGGGCTCTTTTTTGGTTCCATATGAACTTTGAAGTAGTTTTTTTCCAATTCTGTGAAGAAAGTCATTGGTAGCTTTATGGGGAGACAAAGACAAAAACCACATGATTATCTCAATAAATGCAGAAAAAGCCTTTGACAAAATTCAACAACCCTTCATGCTAAAAACTCTCAATAAATTAGGTATTGATGGGACGTGTTTCAAAATAATAAGAGCTATCTATGACAAACCCACAGCCAATATCATACTGAATGGGCAAAAACTGGAAGCATTCCCTTTGAAAACTGGCACAAGACAGGGATGCCCTCTCTCACCATTCCTATTGAACATAGTGTTGGAAGTTCTGGCCAGGGCAATTAGGCAGGAGAAGGAAATAAAGGGTATTCAATTAGGAAAAGAGGAAGTCAAATTGTCTCTGTTTGCAGACGACATGATTGTATATCTAGAAAACCCCATTGTCTCAGCCCAAAATCTCCTTAAGCTGATAAGCAACTTCAGCAAAGTCTCAGGATACAAAATAAATGTACAAAAATCACAAGCATTCTTATACACCAACAACAGACAAACAGAGAGCCAAATCATGAGTGAATTCCCATTCACAATTGCTTCAAAGAGAATAAAATACCTAGGAATCCAACTTACAAGGGATGTGAAGGACCTCTTCAAGGAGAACTACAAACCACTGCTCAAGGAAATAAAAGAGGATACAAACAAATGGAAGAACATTCCATGCTCATGGGTAGAAAGAATCAATATCGTGAAAATGGCCATACTGCCCAAGGTAATTTACAGATTCAAGACATAGCATTTTTAAGAGGCAGTGTGACTTTACAGGAAAGAACACTGGCTCTGGTAAGTCAACTCTCTCAGTTCAAATCCCAACTATATTGCATACGAATTGTGTGACAACTCTTATGAGGCACAATAATCATTTCCATTTTACAGATGAGGCACAACCAGGTTTAGGTAACTTGTTCAAGTTACACAGTTGTAAAAATTAAATAGATTAATACATGCAAAGGGCTTGGTAAAACTGCCTGATACCTATTAAGAACTCAGTAAACATTTGTATTATTATTATGTATATTTAACCCAAATATTGTCCTCACCTCAAAAAAATCATCTTGTTCTTGATATTAAAATCAAAATGCTTAAAGGTTCCATCTACAGTGCCCTCTCTGAGATTTGTGTACATTCCTGTAGATTGCAGCAGTTCTTGTTCAAATTTTCTTTGCTCATGAAACTCTTCAATTCACTTCTCGTCTCCTGTGGCTGTTCTGTTTTTCTACCTTGTTTTGGTTCAAACGTAGAGCACAGCCTCCTCTCCTAGATATCTGTAAAGTGCTTCCATCACAACGCCGTTAGAAAAATTTTGCCCAAAGTTTAGAGGGTGATAGAGTGGCAGCTTATACCATAGCACAACAACTTAACATGGAATATTAGACACCTTTGTTTTCGCAAGTCCATTGGACATATCCATTGTCAGGAATGTATACTAGTGATTTTCTTGCCTCACATGACCAAGTTGCTGAACCTCTTGCTCTCTCTTTCAGCCTCAACTTCTTTATCTTTCTTCCTTTTTAGCCTAATAGCCTCATGTCTTCTTTTGGCTGCCAAAGGAACTCCGTCTTTTTCTTTATTATTTGCAGCAGTTAGCTTTCTCTTTGTTTCACATCTCCGCCTTGCAGAACCATGATCTATCAAGGTGTTTTGTCAAACAAAAAATAATACTTTCCCCGGGAAAAAGCTACTGTTAACTTTTAAAGTACATTTTCCTCATTAAATGTACTAACATTCACAATTAAAAAATGCAACATAGTGTTGTTCTAATATAAGTGTCTAGTTACTCTATATGATTCACAAACCCAAGTAATGAAAAATCCCTTTTTATTCAATTTGACAATACAGTATTTTGTTCAGGATTTTTGCATCTTTGTTCATGAGAGAGATAGATTTGCAATTTTCTTTTTTGGTAATGTTCTTTTCAGTCAAGGTTATACTGGCTTTAGAAAATAAATTGGAAATGCATATTTTCCTTTTTCTCTTCCCTGGAAAAGTTTGTATAAAAGTGTTATGTCTTCTTTAATGTTTAGAAGAGATCACGGGTAAAACACTGGGCCTGGATTTGTGTGTGTGTGTGTGTGTGCATGTGTGTGTGTGCGTGCGCGCGTGTGCATGTAGAGTTCATTGAGGAGAACTCAAATTGTTTTTATTTTAATGTTTCTTACATGTGTTAAAACTACTCCATATGGCCCATAGTTTCTATACAAATATAAGAACAGAATCAATTTACCTGCTAAAGATAAAGCTGTGAAACCTAGTAACTTTCAAAGTTAACAGTATTCTCTGATGTAATGAATAATTGATTTTCATGGGCTAGGTTGCAATGTGAAATGTGAATGTGGTATTGTTTGGGTCTTCTGTTGTTGCCATACCTAAGTTCTCTTGTGCCATGAGATGACTCAAGTTTCCCACCCCTTTTCTTTATTCAAATGTGAGAAATTTATTTTCATAAGGCTGACAGTGACATCATTTGGTCTTCATTTAGCAGAAATGCCTGATTTATGCATTAAATACTCAACTGTTCTTTTTATATTAGCCTGTAATCATTAGAATACATGCTCTCTTATATTACTTGGTGGCAGGAGGTTGTTTTATGTTGTCAAATCAATTTCATTTATCTACTAATATAAGAAATTGAAATTGCATTCTATGGGAAAGCCTTTTAATTGAAAACAATCATTCAAAAGAGAAGTTGCATATTCATAACTAGGAAAAATAATTCAACTCTAGCATAACTGGGAACAAGGGAAGTTGTTTATGTTCTAATATTAAGACACCTAACGTCTGGCTGCTGACCCTGACATCAGGCAAGCATGTTTCCAATGCATTAAACTTAAATATAGTCACTTAAAGTAATTCCTCAGGACTACTGCAAACACAAATTCAGAAGTAGAAACTAAAATTGCATGATAATATTTGAGGATAAAGTGGTTACATAGATGGCTACAAATGTGTTTATATTGTCTTTGAGGATTATCATTGAAAAGAAAATACACACTCACAGAATTTCTATACAGAACAGGTGGACCTTTGAAAATGCATTTAAAGACCCTCACAATTCTAATAACCCTAGTGAGAAACACTATTCCATACTAAACAATCAATTTTTTAAAACTCTACTTTTGTCTGGCAGCCTATTCATTCATCATTCTTATTCTGTTGTCATTTTCTGTGTGTGCTCTGTTCTTTTTGTTCCAAAGCCAGTGTCTACATTTAAGAGGGTCCATACTATACGGGCAGAAAGATTTTAAGCTTTGCATCTGCACATGCAAAATTTACTCTAAGTATTGAGTTCTTTGCTGTCCTGTAAGAAGCTCTGTTAAGGTGTGGCTGAGTAATATTAATTCTTATGGCTTTTGTTGTTTGTGTATTTGTTTATGCTGTGCCCTTACCCTCTTTGGGCTGGACTAGACGTTTTTATTGCTCCAAGAGGAAATCACCATGGCAGAACTGGAGGATATATGCATTAACTTCTTGATTTTTAAGTGTGAGAAAGCCTGTCCTGTTGAAACTGCTGAGCCAGTTCACTAGCACCTCTGCTCCCAGCAGAAGAGGGAGGAGGGGTCTCGGTCGGAGTTAGGAGATGATTTAGAGTAGAGGCGGAGAGTTCACTGATGGTGAGAATCTCTGCACAGGTGTGCTGTGCCCTGCTTCCTTGCTTACTTGTTAGCTCCAAACTTGGGGAGGGTGGGTGGTTAAAGAAACAATTCTCCAAAATGTGAGAAGAAGAGATAGGCACACTGTTTTCTCTCTAGAGAAATAGAACAAGAATAGAATAAGAGACAGCTGCATGGGGAGCAGGACTGGAGAGGTGTGAGGCAGCCCATCAGGTTTTCTGTTTAACAACAGAAATGGGGTTGGTAGCAGAGTAGAATTTTCTATAGCCCTAAGAAAGGCAGCAAGCCGGCTGGGCGCTGTGGCTCACACCTGCAATCCCAGCACTTTGGGAGGCCAAGGCGGGTGGATCACTTGAGGTCAGGAGTTTGAGGCTAGTCTGGCCAACATGGTGAAACCCCATCTCTACTAGAAATATAAACGTTAGCCAGGCGTGGCGGTGAGTGCCTGTAGTCCCAGGTACTTGGGAGGCTGAGACAAGGAGAATCACTTGAACCTGGGAAGCGGAGGTTCCAGTGAGCAGAGATCACGCCACTGCACTCCAGCCTGGGCAACAGAGCAAGACTCCATCTCAAAATATAAATAAATAAATAAATAAATAAATAAATAAATAAGAGGCACCAAACCTTGCTAAGAGCACACTGGCAGACCTGAGGCTGAGGTATAGACAGTATGTCTAAAAATCACTGAGAGTGTGACCTCTTAAAAGATGTCAGCATGGAGGAGCAATGCCAATAGCCAGGTGGAACAATGACGATTCATGGCAGTGAATACCAGTGTAGACAGATGGCTAAGGACTACACGCCTCCCTTGATGCCATGTTGGCACATGAACCCCAAACATAGATGCTACCTTATAGTGAAGGAAGGGCAGGGGACAATCCCCAATGACTGAACCTATGACGACTACTTATAAGAGAACATCTGGTATTTGACTTATAAATGAGAACACATGGTATTTGACTTTCTGTTTATGAGTTGTCTCACTTAAGATAGCAGCCTCCAATTCCATCCATATTGCTGCAAAAGACATGAATTGATTCTTTTTATGGCTGAATAGTACTGCATTTGTATATGCAATACTATTGCATATTTTATTAATCTAATCATCTGTTGATGAACACTTAGGTTGATTTTATATCTTTACTATTTTTCACAGAATTAGAAAAAAATCATAAAATTAATATGGAACCAATAAAGAGCCTGAATAGCCAAAGCAATCCTAAGCAAAAAGAACAAGCTGGAGGCATCATATTACCCAACTTCAAATTACACTACAACACTATAGTAACCAAAACAGAATGGTACTAGTACAAAAATAGATACATAGATCAAGGGAACGGAACAGAGAATCTGAAATAAAGCCACATATCTACAGCCAACTGACCTTTGACAAGGTCAACAAAAACATACACTGGGGAAAGGATACCCTTTTCAATAAACTGTGCTGGGAAAATTAGATTGCCATATACAGAAGAATAAAACTGAACCCCTTTCTCTCACCATATACAAAAGACAATGCAAGATGAATTAAACACTTAGATGTAAGACTTGGAACTAGGAAAATAGTAGAAGAAAACCTAGGGAGAACTTTTCTGGACATTGGTATAGACAAAGAATTCATGACTAAGAACTCAAAAGCACAAGCGTCAAAACCAAAGATAGACAAATGGGACTTAATTAAACTAAAGGGTTCTGCACAGCAAAAGAAATAATCAATAGACTGAACAGACAACATGGAGAATGAAAGAAAATATTTGCAAACTATGCAACCAATAGGGGACTAATATTCAGAATTTATAAGGAAGTCAGACAACTCAACAACAACAAATACCAAATAACCCTGTTAAAAAGTGGGCAAAAAAACATGAGCAGACATTTTTTTGAAAGAAGTCACAAAAAACATATGAAAAAATGCTCAACATCACTAATCATCAGAGAAATGCAAATTAAAACCACAATGAGATATCATCTTACACCAGTTAGAATGGCTATTATGAAAAATACAAATAAAAAAAAGCAGATGTTGGCAAAGATGCAGAGAAAAGGAATGCTTACAGACTGTTGGCGGGAATGTAAATTAGTACAACCTCTGTGGAAAACAGCGTGGATATTTTTCAAAGAATTTAAAATAGAACTACTATTTGATTCAGCGATCTCACTACTGGGTATCTACCCAAAGAAAAATAAGTAAGTTTATTTTTAAACAAATATCTGCATTTGTATGTTTATTGCAGTATCCTTCCTATCCTTTATATTATCTTTGTCTAGTATTTAATTCTATACATATAGCAATTCCCACAAGGCATTTTTATAAATGCTTTGAAGAAATAATTTTAACTTAAATTTCCTCCCTCTAATACCCTTCATTCTTCTCTTCACCTCCATGTTTCCATCTTGGATCATTTTTTTTGAAATCAATTTTTTTGAAAAAATATCTTTGTGAGTTTTTTATTTCTGTAAAGGTTTACTGGCATGAGTTCTGTCCTTTTTTTGTCTAAAAACTATCTTTATTTCGTTTTCTTTTTTTAAAAAATATTTTTTCTACCTGGGCACAGTGGTGCACACCTGTAATCCCAGCAATGTGGGAGGCTGAAGCAGGAGGATCACTTGAGCCTAGGAGTTCGAGAGCAGCCAGGGAACATGGTGAGATGCTATCCCAAAAACCTTTTTTTGTTGTTGTTGACTTAAAAATATATTTTTTATTTTATTTATTTGTTTTTTATTTATTTTTGTTTGGTTTGGTTTGGTTTGGTTTTGAGATGGAGTCTCTCTTCGTCACCCAGGCTGGAGTGCAGTGGTGCGATCTCGGCTCACTGCAAGCTCTGCCTCCCAGGTTCACACCATTCTCCTGCCTCAGCCTCCAGAGTAGCTGGGACTACAGGTGCCCACCACCACGCCCAGCAAATTTTTTGTATTTTTAGTAGAGATGGGGTTTCACCGTGTTAACCAGGATGGTCTCGATCTCCTGACCTAGTGATCCGCCTGCCTCGGCCTCCCAAAGTGCTGGGATTACAGGCGTGAGCCACCATGCCTGGCCCTATTTCATTTATTTTATTTTGATTCAAGGGATGCATGTGCAGGTTTGTTACATGGATATGTTGTGTGATGCTGACATTTGGGCTTCTAAAGATCCTGCTGCCCAATTAGTGAACATAGTACCTGGTAGGTAGTTTTTCAACCCTTGCCCCCACTCCTGCCATCTCACTTTTTGGAGTCCCAGTATTTATTGTTCCCGGCTTTGTGATCATGTATACCAAATGTTTAGCTCTCACTTATAAGTGAGAACATGCAGTATTTGGTTTCCTGTTTCTGCATTAATTCACTTAAGATAATGGCCTCCAGCTGCATCCATGTTGCTTCAAAGGACATGATTTTGCTCTTTTTTATTGTTGTGTAGTATTCTATGGTGTATATGTGCCACATTTTCTTTATCCAACCCACCATTCACTTGCACCTGGGTACCATGTCTTTGCTATTGTGAATAGAGCTGTGATAAACATATGAGAGCAGGTGTCTTTTTGTTAGAATGATTTATTCTCCTTTGAGTGTATAACCAGTAATGAGATTGCTGAGTTCAACAGTAATTCTATTTTTAGTTCTTCAAGATATCTCCAAATTGCTTTCCACAGGAGCTGAAATAATTTGCATTTCCACCACCAGTGTATAAGCATTCCCTTTTCTTTGGAGCCTCATCAACATGTTACTTTCTGACTTTTAAAACATTTCCATATCTACATACATTTACTGAAATCCATGATTTCACACTATCTCCAATATCAATTCAACACCACAGTATTCATTCTAATTTTCTCCTTTTCCTCTCTTATTTTTTTAACTTTTATTTCAGGTTCAGGGATACATGTGCAATTTTGTTTTGTATATATATAATATTTCTATTGTTAAGTCAGCTCTCTTCTCTATTTCTCTCTCTCTCTCTCACTCTCTCTCTCTCTCTATATATATATATATATAAGAAATTGCATGTCACAGGTGTTTGGAGTACAGATTATTTGTCACCCAGGTAATAAGCATAGTACCCAATATGCAGTTTTTTTATCTTCACCCTCCTCCCACCCTCCACCCTCAAGTAGGCCCCAGTGTCTGATGTTGCCTTCTTTGTGTCCATGTGTACTCACTGTTTAGCTCCCACTTATAAATGAGAACATGTGGTATTTGGTTTTCTGTTTCTGTGATAGTTCACTTAGGATAATGGCCTCCATCTCCATTCATGTTCTCACAAAAAACATGATTTCATTCTTATTTGTGGCTTCATAGTATTCCATGGTGTTTATGTATCACATTTTCTTTGTCCATTCTACCACTGATGGACACTTAGGTTGATTCCATGTCTTTATTATTGTGCATAGTGCTGCAACAAACATACACATTGCTGTTTCTTGATGGTTTATGGCTTGCATCCTCACGAGTGGTGGTCTGAGCTGTATCTGAAGCCCTTTGAGCCAAGGCTAGAGTTGGAGTGGCTGGGATGTGAGGAGCAGTGTCCTGAGGATAAGCAGGGCAACAGTGCCTTGGCCCCTGAAACCACTCTTTCCTCCTGGGCTTCTGTACCCATGATGGGGAGGGCTGTCCTGAAGACTTCTGAAATGGCTTTGAGGGCTTTTTCCTCATTGTTTTGGATATTAGCATTTGGCTCCCTTTTGATCATACTAATCTCTCCAGAAAGTGTTTGTTCCACACATGCTTGGATTCTTTTTCTACCACAGAGCCTGACTGCAAATTTTCTGAACTTTTATGCTCTGCTTCTCTTTTAAATGTTACAACTTTAGGTCATTTCTTTACTCCTGTACCTGATTATAGGTTGTAAGAAGCAGCCACCCTACTTCTTGAATGCTTTGCTGCTTAGATATTTCTTCCACCAAATACCTTAAATCATCACTCTTAAGTTCAAATTTCCACAGATCCCTAGGACGTAGACACAATTCAACCAAGTTCTTTGCTGAGGCATGACATGGGTAACCTTTGTTCCACTTCCCAATAACTTCCTCAATTCCATCTGAGACCACATCAGCCTGGACTTCACTGTTCATATCTCTGTCAGCATTTTGGTCACAACCATTTAACCAGTCTATAAGAAGTTCCAAACATTCCCTCATCTTCCTATCTTCTTCTGAGCCTTCCAAACTCCTCCAACCTCTGCCCATTACCTAGTTCCAAAGCCACTTCCACATCATCAGGTATCTTTATAGCAATGCTCCATTCCTTGGTACCAATTTTCTATATTAGTCTGTTCTTGTGTTGCTATCAAGGAATACCTGAGACTGGGTAATTTATAAAGAAAAGTGGTTTATTTTGGCTCACAATTCTGCAGGTGAGACTGCATGGTGCTGGCATCTGTTCCTGGTGAGGGCCTCTGAAAGCTCACAGTCATGGTGGAAGGTGAAGAGAGAGCCTGCATGTCACATGACGAGAGCAAGAGAGCAAGGGATAAGTGGCACACTCTTTTAAAACAACTAGATCTTGCATGAACTAGCTGAGCAAGAACTCATTCATCACCAAGGGGATGGCGTTAAGCCATTCATGAGGGATCCACCACCATAATGCAATCACTTCCCACCAGGCCCCACTTCAAATATTGGGAATCACATTTCAACATAAGATTTAGAGGGGACAAACATCCAAACCATATCAGGGGCAGAAGCAATATTTTTGAATTTTCCCAAACTGACCAAAGATATCAAAACACATATTTTAAAGCCCTATGAGTCTAGGATAAATAGAAAGAAAACCACACCTACATGTACAATAATCTAATTGTTAAGAATCAGAAAGTTTTAAAAGCAGTTCAAAGAAAGACACATTACCTTTAAAGAAATGAAAATAATCCAAAGAGCTGACTTAACAATAGAAATAATGGAATCTGGAAGACAAAGATAACATTTTCAAAGTGTTGGTATCAAGTAAAAGCCAAACAAGTTTTATACCTAAAAAAAAGTTCTTGAAAGAACAAAGCTAGAGGCATGATATTAACTCACTTCAAACTATACTGCAAGTCTACAGTAACCAAAATAGCATTGTACTGGTACAAAAACAGACACATAAACCAACAGAACAGAATAGAGAGTCCAGAAATAAAGCTGCACACCTGCAATTATCTGATCTTTGACAAAGTTGAAAAAAATAAGCAATGGGGAAAGGACTCCCTATACAATAAGTGGGGCTAGGATAACTAGCAGTCCATATGCAGAAGAATAAAACTGGACCACTTCCTTACACCATATACAAAAATCAACTCAGGATGGATTAAAGACTTAAATGCAAAAGCTAAAACAATAAAAATCCTAAAAGATAACCTAGGAAATAGGTCCTGGCCAAGATTTCATAATGAAGATGCCAAAAGCAGTTGCAACTGTATTAGTCCATTTTCACACTGCTGATAAAGACATAACCAAGACTGGGCAAAATTTACAAAAGAGAGAGGTTTAATAAACTTACAGTTCCTCGTGGCTGGGGAGGCCTCACAATCATGGTAGAAGGTGAAAGGCACATCTCACATGGCAGCAGACAAAAGAAGAGAGCTTGTGCCGGGAAACTCCTCCTTATAAAACCACCAGATCTTCTGAGATTTATTCACTATCATAAGAACAGCATGGGAAAGACCTGCCCCCATGATTCAATTACCTCCCACCAGGTCCCTCCCACAACACATGGGAGTTCAAGATGAGATTTGGGTGGGGACACAGCCAAACCATATCAGCAACAACAAAAAAAAATTGACAAATGGGGACCTAATTAAACTAAAGAGATTCTGCACAGCAAAAGAAACTATCGACAGAGTAAATAGACAACCTACAGAATGGGAGGAAATGTTTGCTAACTATGCATCCAACAAAGGTCTAATATTCAGTCTATAAAGAACTTAAACAAATTAACAAGCAACAAACAACCCCATTAAAAAGTGGGCAAAGGACATAAACAGACACTTTTCAAAAGAAGACATACACACAGCCAACAATCACATGAAAAAATGCTCAGCATCACTAATCATCAGAGAAATGCAAATCAAATCATAATGGGATACCATCTCACACCAGTCAGAATGGCTATTACTGAAAAGTCAAAAAACAACAGATACTGGAGAGGTTGCAGAGAAAGGGGAATGCTTATACACTGTTGGTGTGAATGTAAATTAGTTCAGCCAGTATGGAAAGTGGTTTGGAGATTTCTCAAAGAACCTAAAACAGAACTACCATTCAACCCAGCAATCCCATTACTGGGTATATATCCAAAGGAATATAAATTGTTCTACCACCTTAACTGTAATTTTTGTCTTTCCAGGAGGTGAGATTTCTGAAAGCCTTTATCTTCTAAGATTGTTAACCATTGCTTTCTGCTTAGCTAATGCTGCTTATGCAAAACAAATGCCTCAAAGGAAAAAGTAGGGTAGACTATTGGACTCATTTCAATGATATTGATTTCTCTCTGGGATTTTGATCTGCAAGTTTTGGCCTTCTGGATACTTCTGCAGTTTCAAAAAGAAATTTTTAAAATTTAGTCCTGCTTTGCTTGTTTTCTTTGTGAGATGGTTGGTCTTCAACAACTTTTATATTATTTTTAAATGTTTGAATAATCAAAATAAATAAATTTCTTTAAATGTTGTTTTAAAGTACAAATGTGTGTTACTTATTTTTTAGAAACAGTTTTCTTTTAAAAAATAGTTTTTGAATAAGTGAATCATGGTGGTTTGTGCCTATAGTCCCAGCTATTTGTGTCATTGAGGTGGGATAATTGCTTGAGCCCAGGAGTTTGAGGCCAGCATGGGCAGTATAGTGACATACCATCTCTTAAAAAATAGTTTTTGAATAGAACTATTAGATATGTCTACCAATGTAATAAGCCAATTTATCAGAAAAACGTATACATTTTCATGATTTCCAGTGCCCCCTTTCCCTTTCAAAACTATCCTCAGTTGGAAATACAGCATTGTATAACAAAAATAATTGTAAATCTTAAAAACAGATGCCTGATTTGAATCACTTTAGTAGAGAGTCACAGCCTTTTATGCAAGTTCACTGACCGATAGTCCCTTGAGGAAGGTCCTTGCAGTAACGTCACAAGTACATGCTATAAATATGCTTCTTAGCTTATCGTATAAGAACCAAGTGGAGTTTCCTGGAGCTCTTCTTCCATAACAAATAAGAAACATGAAGCAATATTGTGTCCATTTAACTCCCCTGTGTGACTGTGAAGTATCATGAGCTTAATCATGTGCCATCTCTAATTGCAGTGACTATTCCTGGTCCCTGGTATGTGGCTATTATTCTGGTTATCAGCACCTTCCTCATTAGTCTATAGATTCATTCTATGCTATACAAATTAATTTTTGCATCTCAATTAAACTGTAACTCATATTTTACGGCGATCAACCTAGGAAAAATTAGAATCACTCCTGACTGCTCTAGCTAGCATATTAAATCCAAAATCTCTGAGTGCACTCATATCATTAAATTCAGCCAAGATAAATTATATTCCTCTTGCTTCAGTCTACTCTAGTACAATTGGAATTAATTTTCTCATATTTTCACCAATTTAGTTTTGTTATTTTTATTTATCCATATATATGGTAGGTTAAAGGAATGGCTACAATTTCTTTGCACCATCTCTATTAGGAGGTGGAGCGTATTATCCCACTTTTTGAAAATGAGCAGGCTTCTGAGTAGCTTTAATGAATAGGATATGGAGAAAGTGATACTATAAAAGTATCTAGGCTTCAAGAAGTGTGGCAGCTTCTGCTCTCACTGGGAAACATTCCATTACCATGCGAACATACCCATGCTAGCCTTTTGGAAAAAGAGAGTGTTTGAATCCATTGCCATCCCAGCCATGCCAGCTAAGGACCCAGAATGTAAGCATATCCAGCCACGAATAGCTGATCCTGGCCCAGACCAGAAAGATGACCCAGCTCTTCTCAGCCCAAATTGATAAGATGAACTCATGAGCTAGATAAAATTTTTATTTATTTTATTCAAGCCAATAAGTTTTGGGGTGGTATGTTATATAGCAATAGATAAATTAGCAAAATTTTATAATTTTTTTTTTAGCATGTAAGTGTTCTCTTGGATTTGACTTTGTGATTGGTTTCCTGGGGCATTCTGGAGACAAATCATGTATTGCTGTAGTTAAAAGTCTAAAGGCAATGAGAGGTGGTGCAGGTGGAACATGAGGAAAATAGGTCTTTTTTCAAGAAAGGAAAGGAAAATTTCAGGAAGGGAATGACGACGTGATTATTCTGCAGTTAAAGGGTGTTCAGCAGTGTTTGGGAAAACCCATCCCTCTCAAATGTCACCATTCTAATTCTCATGGTTTCTCTCTTTCTTAGTCAATGCTCTGCTTTCACATAAGAGATGTTGTAAGACTGAATTCTCCAACTCACATGATGAAACTCTGTGTTTGAGTTTTAGCAGCATCATTATTATTTTATTTTTTGTTTTTTATAATTTCAACTTTATTAGTATTTTAGATCCAGGGGCACATGTGCAGATTTGTTACATAGGTATATCACATGATGCTGAGATTTGGGATACGATTGATCCCATCACCCAGGTAGTCAGCATAGTACCCAATAGTTTTCAACCCTTTCACACCTCTTCCCCACCCAACTAGTAGTTCCCAGTATCTATTGTTGCTATCTTTATATCCATGAATACCCAATTTTTAGCTCCCACTTGCCACCAATGTGGTATTTGATTTTCTGTTCCTCTGTTAATTAACCTAGCATAATGGCCTCCAGTGCATCCACGTTGCTGTCAAGGACATGCTTTTGTTCTTTTTTATAGCTGTATAGTATTCCATGGTGTATATGTACCACATTTTCTTTATGCGACCCACTGTTGATGAGTACCTAGGTTGAGTCCATATCTTTTAGATACCTTATTCTTGAGATGAGATAAGAAATTCTTTTAGGGTAACCTAAGACATTCCCTAGTTCTCTGACCATGTTTTGATCCAAAAATTGACAATGCTGAGCCTTGAATTCTCTTTAAGCTCTGAAGTGCAGTTAGGAGCATCCAACCCTTGGTAAAGTTCTCATATTTCTTGTGCTTCTCATACTGTGCTGTAGAAGTAACCTCTAGCTTCCAAAATCATTTCCTCAACAGGCACTATTTCTGTATGGCTATAGGTGATAGTTTCAGGAATTAATTTTCTGCTGCATATTGTGAATGATAAGTATTTCATTCTTCAATGGCAACTGAGTCTTCACTATCCTCCAACCCAACCAGATCAGATAACCAGTCCTAGTCAGTCAAGGTACTATGGTCAGAGTAGCACATAACAGAATCTCTTCAAGACAGTTTCAGCAGAAAGAGATTTAGCACAAGGGATAGGTACTTATAAAATTTTGAAGGCGGAGGAAGCAGACTATAGGCTTAGCTTCCAGGAATGACTCCCACAATGATACTGCAGAAATTGCCCACTAAGTGAGCTTTTGTCTCTTTAACAATCAGGAAATTGGGGGAACAAGGAGCTGCCATCATGTTTGCTTGTCCCCCCAAATCTTTGCCAGGATGTGGACTAAGAATATGGACACCCTGCTCCTTGCCTCTCAACAGCCATAAAGCTAGGTGTGGTCCTGAGTGACTGGCTTCTCCTACAGCTGATACATCAATACCTCCAAGGCACTGTTTTACAGAAGTAACAGAAGCATAGCTTTGACCCCACTTGATATCCTTGAATCTCCCAAATCTCATGCAGGTATATCAGTTTGGTCCAAGCTACGGAACTAGCTGTACTATAAAAGAATTAGCAAAATATAGTCTTTCACTCTTCACCCTCTATTTCCTGACTACACAAAGTATATCTGTGGCGCAGTGGCATTGACATCATCTATAAGGGAATAGATATCAGCAAGCTATTCTGCAGAATGTAACACAAAGGTTAAAATGCATGTAATATGCCTAGTACAGTGCCAGTAAGATAGCTTACTCTCAATTCATGTTCATTGTAATTATTTTTGTTGTTATTGCCTGGCATTGCTCATTGGTGGGAAAAAAAAAAAAGCAGACACCAAGTTAAGGGGAGCCTGGAGTTTCTTCAGGCCAGAATAGCAACACACCTTTCCTTTTTTTTTTTTCTTCTAATTTTGCTACCAGTGCCTTGCTTATAAAAGACTCCCAAAATACCAATGCTGGAAGGGGGTTAGGTTTTGATGAGTAGCTTTTCGTACTGTCCCCTCCTGGTTATTAACTCTCTTCATCAATTATATCCCTCATTGGAAAAAAAAAATCTCCTCTCTCTATTTATGTCTCTCAGCTCTCTGGTCTCTCTCCCATCTTTATTCTCCTTCTCTTTGTCCCTTTTTCATGTCTTAAGAATAGGATTTTTAAAAGATTTGAGCCCAGGTGCAGTGGCTCACGCCTGTAATCCCAACACCTTGGGATGCCGAGACAGGTGGATCACATGAGGTCAGGAGCTCAAGACCAGCCTGGCCAACATGGTGAAACCCCATCTTTACTAAAAATACAAATTAGCCAGGCATGGTGGCAGATACCTGTAATCCCAGCTACTTGGGAGGCTGAAGCAGGAAAATCGTTTGAACCCAGGAGGCGGAGGTTGCAGTGAGCCGAGATCGCACCACTGCACACCAGCCTGAGCAACAGAGCAAGAGTCCATCTCAAAACAAAACAAAACAAAACAAAAACAAAACACCCACATTTGATAGTATTAATTTTCTAGAGTAAAGCCCTTTGAATTCAATATAATGATCTAATATTTGTAAAGCACTTAAAATACAGCCAGGCACATAGTAAGCCATGTTCAGATATTTGCTTTTATTTATTTACTTTTTTAAAAATGGACGTAATTTAGGCATACTCTGGGGCCCATCTTGCTTTATAGTAATTTTCTTTTAGAACTTCAGGAATTAAACCACTTTGGATGGTATCCAAGATAGACCTATTTTATACTAAATCTTGCTTTTCAGTGAAAAATATGAGAGGCTGATTTCAGAGTTACCAAGACTGAGATACTAAACCTCATTAATGCTGCAGCTAATATCTTACGGGGGAATAATTTGATGCTGAACATTAAGTCTAATATTATATAACTAAACCTCAGCATTATAAATAAATGTAACTCCATTGTTTTAGAAGCTAAATTTTTTATTTTTTGTAACACCTGGTTTCACACTTACCTGTACTTCTGCTTAACAAGATTGGATAGTGGTTTTCCAGAAAAAAAACAAGGAATAATTGAAAGAAAAAGTGCACACATATTCATCATGTATGTATTTGTATTGGGGACAATTTTAATCATCACCTAAGTGTGGGTTTTTAAAAAGACCTTGAAGACAGCAAGAGTGCAGAGGCACACTGGCAGAGAACAGGCACTTGCTAGTCTGAGACGATATGCCAGAGGCGGTGTTCGAGGAACATTCTGGAAAGCCCAAGACTGGAATGCCTTGTTGATTGTGCTTTCATTTAAGACTGGCAGTGGGCAGGGGCAGGGGTAATGGGTGGAAAACCCTGAGTGTGACTCACCTGTGGTCTTCACAACTATTAGCTGCTTTCTTTTACTGAACTTCAAGCACACTTGGGCTTAATAAGGCTGTTTTATGGTCTTTTTGTCTGCTCATGCTTCCTAATGTTTTCTTCAGCTGTGACTGGCCCATGTGGACAATGTGTGCAGGGCTCTGAGATGGCCATTTTATCTCTTTGGTCCCTTCAAAGGAGGGTTTTACAACCTCTGCCTCTCAGCTTTTGAATGTGAGGAAGTGATCATTTTAAACAAAGGTGGAAATAGACCTCAAACTTGGCACCTTCCATGTTATATTTAACCACTTCAGGAGTAAACAGGATGGAA
Source organism: Homo sapiens (assembly GCF_000001405.40). Taxonomy (NCBI): domain Eukaryota; kingdom Metazoa; phylum Chordata; class Mammalia; order Primates; family Hominidae; genus Homo; species Homo sapiens. Next base: position 46,722,767 of record NC_000012.12, read on the forward strand.
AATAGGTAAGAATGACCATTAGCAGAAACTTGATTTAAAAACCAACAAATCCTGATGTTTGCAAACCATACGATACACAGAAGTGCGTACATTGTAAAGTAAGTCTTGCAGGGATGGTGATGAAAACGTACAAATGATTTGTGGCTATGCAAGGATTCAGCTGTTTTCTCAGACCTGGCAGGGCTCCATCCAGTGCAGTCAGCATGACTGGCAGATGGCTGCCTAACAGGATGACCATTTAGCCCTATTTTCTGAGACAGTCCTGATTTGTGCATATTTCCTCTGCATGCATGCAGTTAATAGCCCCATTCACTCTCAAACATGTCCAGATTTGGATAAGACATCTTATGGCCAACTTATTTATAAACAAATAAGAGTCAGGAAAGTGTCACACTAGGATGTGGAACACCTGCTCTTACCCAATAGAGTTCCAGTAGTTCTGAGTTCTGAGAAATTTTTGTGATTTCTGCTAATTGAATTGGGGACTTAATTGAATCTTAGTGACAATGGCGGAGGGAGTAGGGGAGGAAGAGTCTCTTCTCACTAATCTGTAGCATCCTGAGCACTGTACCCTCCCTGCAGCTTTCCCCTAAACTATACAAGATCAGAGCATTGGCACCATTTTACTCCTTTCCTATCTCCGAGCTTCCTCTGCTTTGTCTTCTAGATCCTGTTGCTGCTGCTGCTCCTCTTCCTCCTTGAAAACATTGTTCCAAATTATTTTAAAATTATATTTTCTATTTTAGGAATCTTTGCTCAACCATTAGAATACATGTCACAGCTGCACCATGAGGAGTTATTTGTCTTAATTATATACTTTACTAATTACTTGTTCTCTATTTTTTGTATCCCATGTCCCGCTCTTTCTTGGATTACACTTTTATTTGAGTAATATTTTCAGAAGGATATGTGGGTGGCAAAACTTCTAAATTGCTTGCATGTTGGAAATGCTCTTCGTTTTGCCTTCAGACTTGAATGATAATTCAGCTTGTAGAGTTTCCAAATCCCTTTCCTTCAGAATATCTTGGCTGTTTCTTCAGGGTTTTCTAGCATCTCCTCTTGCTGAGCAGCAGTCTGGTGCCAGATTTATTCTAAGTCCTTTGTAACTTTCCTCCTACCCCTCCCCCTCTTTGAAAGGCTGTATCATCTTATTTTTAACCTTGGAATTCATAAAAATCACTAAAATGTGTTTCTTCATATTTGCGTGAAGCACATGGCAGGCCCTTTTGATCTGAACACATACTTTTTCTTTAGCAAATGAAAAGTTCTTCCATTATTTCTTTGATTTTATTTTTCCATCCACACTCATTTTACTAGGTAAATACTGGATCTCTGGATATAGCTTCATTTTTCTTAACTTTTCTCTCACAGCTTTCATTTTTCCTTTTTTTTTTTTTTTGACCGTGTTCTTGGAATAGTCCTTAAGAGTAAGCTTCCTGGTGGCTAAGTATGCCTTTAGCCCTCTCCATTCTTCAATTCAGTCCTTGTACTGAGATTTCATCATAGCAAACAGATTTTAACTTCCAAGAATTATTTAGTGTTCTCAGGCTTAAATTTCATACTATTTCTTTCTCATTTAATGGGTGCAATTTTCTTGAATTCTCAGAAAACATTTCTGTAATTAATTGTTAGGATTTATTTAATTTTTTCATTAACTGTGCTTTCCTTGTGGTTAATTTCCCTATTTATGTCATCTATTGGCTTGCTTTCTTTTTTTTCTCAAATGTCACAGCCAGGTTCTCTTGTTAGTGAGTGGGTCTGTGTCACTGGTGGGTTTCCTCTGAAGGCCAGAGAAGCTCATTTTCTTAGTTAGGGGCTCCCTGTCTATAGTGAAGCCAGAAGTGACTTGGAGCTTTACCTTACTTCTCTCTTCAGCCCCAGGGCTCATGCTGGGCATTCCTAGAACTAAACTCTATTATTTGCAGAGGTATTTTCAGGCCTTAGACCCCTTAGACTGGGAATAAATGCTATACATAACTGCTTAGAAAGTGGATTTCCTACAAAAATTAGCCAAGTGTGGTGGCACGTACCTGTAGTCCCAGCTACTCGGGAGGCTGAGGGAGGAGAATCACTTGAACCTGGGCGGTGGAGGTTGCAGTGAGCCAAGATCACACCACTGCACTCCAGGTGGGTGACAGAGTGAGACTCCATCTCTCAAAAAAAAAAAAAAAGAAAGAAAGAAAGTGGATTTCCCCACTCTATTAGGTTTTGCCAATACCCAAGACCATCTGTTTTATACCTTAGAGAAATTCCTTAATATTCTGGTCTCCTAATGGCACAACTTTCTGGTTTTCCAGTGCTTCTAAGATTTGTTCTTTTTCTTCTTCTTCTATGATGTTTAGAGAAAGCAGTAAGTTTTCTTTAAGACACACCAACTCAACAACTATGCTAATCCCAAGTAAAGTTTGCCCAAGGTTCAGATTACGCCTCTTGTAATGTGCTTCCATTTGTCATATTCTAATTGTATCTCTAATTTTTCTAATTTCGATTCATTTATGTTAGGACTTGTAATTCCTCCTCTCTCCCATGCTGCCTCTCCCCACGACACCTCCTGCCAAATTAGTCTGAGCTTCTGCCTAGACTTCAGCATGTTAAGTAGGAAAGTCATAGTGTTCAGGTTAAAATAACTCTTATGTCAGGATCCCAATTTCACTGCTGATTAGTTGTATAATTTTGGCTGTTTTTGAAATTCACTTTTCTTTTACATAAAAATGAAAGTAGTAATAAGTATCTCTCAGTGTTATGAGGAGTACATGAAAGTGAAATTGCTTGCCGCATAGGAGTCACTCAAAAACTCTTAGTTTTCTTTCCCCTTCCCGTGAGGACAGGATCTGTGTCTTCTGCTTTCCTTCTGTCTCCCAAATACTTAGCACAGTTCTGAAAATAACTGATTATTCAAAAAGTTCCTCTTTTCCAACAAAATTTAATATTTTAATTGCATATTGAATTTTATTTTTTAATTTTTATTGTAATTTGACAAATTATAATTGCATATATTTATGAGGCACAAAACATATTCCTCCTGTCTAAAATATTTTTATTCTTAATTGACAGATTGCACATATTTATGAGGTAAAATGTGATGTTATGATACATGCATACAATTAGAATAATTAAATCTAATTTACATATCTATCACCTCATGTACTTATCATTTTTGTGATGAGAACATTTGTAATTTACTCTCTTAAGAACATTGAAATATACAGTACAATATTATTAACTACAGTTACCACGCTGTGTGATAGATCTCAGAAACGTTTTCCTTCTGTCTGACTGAAACTTCGTACTCTTTGATCAACATCTTCCCTCTCCCCATTCAACCCATAGTCTTTGTTAACCACCATTCTACTTCCTGCTTCTATGAATGCTACTATTTTAGATTCCACAAAAAAGTGAGATGATGTAGTAGTTGTCTTTCTGTGTCAGGTTTATTTTATTTAGCATAGTGTCCTCCAGATTCATCCATCTTGCCACAGATGACAGAATTTCCTTCTTTTCTAAGGCTGAACAGTATTTCATTTAGCATATAAGCCACATTTTCTTTATCCATTCCTCCACTGATAGACATTTAAGTTGATTTCACATCTTGGTTATTCAGAATAATGCTGTAATAAACATGGGAGTGCAGATATCTTTTTGCCATATTGATCTCCTTTCTTTCCCCAGTAATGGGATTCCTCAATCTTATGGTTGTTTTCTTTTTAGTTTTGTGAGGAGCCTCCATAGAGTTTTACACAATGGCTATACTAATTTACATTTCCAACAATAGTGTACAAGGCTCTCTTTTCTCCACATTCTTATCAATACTTGTCTTTCATTTTTTATGATAAAAGCCATCCTAAAAGATGTGAAGTGATAGTTCATTGTGGTTCTTATCTCACACAAAATATAAAAATCAACTCAAAATGGCTTAAAGACTTAACCATACATCTGAAATTATAATACTACTAGAAGAAAACATATGTGAAAAGCTTTTGACATTGGCCTAGGCAATAATTTTTTGAATATAACTCCAAAAGAACAAGCAACTAAAGAAAAAGTAGACAAAAATACACAATGGGATTTCACCAATCTAGACAGCTCATGCATAACAGAGGAAACAATTAACAGAATGAATAGGCAACCTATCAATTGAAAAAAAAGTTGCAAACCATACATCTAATAAGAGATCAGTATCCAAAATACATAAGGAACTCAAACAGTACAATAGCAAAAAAACAAATAAACTGATTTAAAAATGGGGAAAGGGCCTAAATAGATATTTCTCCATTTCTTAAAAGAAGACATAAAAAAATCAAAAGGTATGTGAAAAAATTATTAACATTACTAATCATTAGTGAAATGCAATTTGAAACCACAAAAAGTACTTTTGACTGGTTGCCTCCAGTTGCCAGATAAAGTGAAAGGTCAGTGTATTATTCAGGGTTCACTAGAGGGACAGAACTAATAGGATATACACATACATATATATGAAAGTTTATTAAATAGTATTAACTCACATGATGGCAAGGTCTCACAATAGGATATCTGCAAGCTGAGGAGCAAGGAAGCCAGTGAGAGTCCCAAAGCTGAAGAACGTGGAGTCCAATGTTTGAGGGCACGAAGCACCCAGCATAAGAGAAAGATGTAGGCTGGGAGGCTAAGCCAGTCTAGCCTTTAAACATTTTTCTGCCTGCTTTATATTCTGGCCATGCTAGCAGCTGATTACATGGTGCCCACCCAGATTAAGGGTGGGTCTGCCTTTCCTGGCCCACTGACTCAAATGTTAATCTCCTTTGGCCACACACTTACAGACATATCCAGGATCAGTATTTTGCATCCTTCAATTCAATCAAGTTGACACTTAGTATTAACTGTCACAAATCCACCTCTTATCAACTTGAACCCATATATGTCTCCTGAGATCATAATCTTCAAATAGAGACAATAATAAGGTCATAATTACACCTAACATAATACAACTATCCTTCGTACCACCAGAAATGTACCAATCCCCAACCCAAATACTATTATATAACATTAACAATACTTAAATGCTGATATGAAGTCAATAAAACTTATGTCACATGATAAAGGAAACAGGAAATAAAATGAAGATATTTTCTTAGTACAAGTGTATACATGCAAAAAAATTTTTAACAAAAGAAGGTGGAAATACTTATGACAATTACAGTCCTTGTTTCTGCAGATGGTCACATGATCATAGCTGGTATTGATGACTACCTTCATCTACTACCCATTTTGTATTCTCTTGGCCTTCAGCAAACACCTCAGCAGGTCATTTTTGTTTTCGTTTTGTTTTTTTTTTCCTGGTGGAGTGATCCAAACCTTCATTCCTGAAGGGTCTGGGTTATTTGTAGCCTTGCCTGGAATAAGCTGCTGTAGCTTCCCATTGACCTTAATCACAGGGCATGGTAATACTAAGAGATGCCCTCATGGATCTCTGATATTCCATGTATACTCTTCCTTACCTTCGTTGTGGAGTAGTAGACTGATTTCATCTTGATAGTTCAGGTCAGTCACCTCAACCAGCACTTCTTAGCCTGTTGACTTAAAGGTAGGAGGAGCCCAAAGTGTTCAGGTGGCAATCTTAACTTCCAGTTTAATGAAATTGTTGTTGTATCTCCTAGTGGCAGCGTAACTCCCTCTGGAACTAAGACCTCTAGGCCAGCAGAATGGAATGTTGTTAGAACAGGAAGCAAAAATTTTGCTAGTGGATCACTAGGAGTGATGGTAAGTGGGGCCACTTCCACTTCCACCCCTTGATTCCTGGACCCATGAATCTTGGCTATGGGAGAAATGGTACCATATACTGGATGCTGATTCAGAACATACACGACCTTCTGGAGAACTTTGCACAGCCCTGCAAAGTATTGTCACCTAGTTGACATTGTAATTGTGATTTCAGAAGGCCATTCCACCATTCTCTCAATGCAGCTGCTTCAGCATGATAGCGAACATGGTAAGACCAGTGAATACCATGAGCATGAGCCCACTGCCACACTTCTTTAGCCATAAAGTCAGTGCCTTGGTCAGAGGCAATGCTGTGTGGAATACCATGATGTTGGATAAGGCATTCCATGAGTCCACGGATGGTAGACTTGGCAGAAGCATTGCATGCAGGATAGGCAAGCCCATGTCCAGATTAACTGTCTATTCCAGTGAGGAGAAACCTCTGCCCTTTCCATGATGGAAGAGGTCCAATATAATTCACCTGCCACCAGGTAGCTGGCTGATCACCCCTAGGAATGGTACCATATTGAGGGCTCAGTGTTGGTCTCTGCTCCTGGTAAATTGGCACTCAACAGTGGCCGTAGCCAGGTCAGCCTTGATGAGTGGAAGTCCATGTTGCTGAGGCCATGCCTAACCTCCACTCCTGCCACCATGGCCACTTTGTTCATGGGTCCATTGAGCGATGTCAGGGGTGGTTGGGGAAAGAGGCTAAGTGGTGTCCACAGAACAGGTCATCCTATCCACTTGATTATTAAAATCCTTCTCTGCTGAGGTCACCCGTTGGTGAGCACTCACATGGAATAAAGATATCATGACAGTTTTTGACCACTCAGAGAGGTCCATCCACATACCTCTTCCCCAGATTTCTTTATCACCTATTTTCCAATCATGCTTCTTCCAAGTCCCTGACCATCCAGCCAAACCATTGGCTACAGCCCACGAATCAGTGTATAATCACACATTTGGCCATTTCTCCTTCCAGGCAAAGTGCACAACCAGGTGTACTGATTGAAGTTCTGCCTACTGGGAAGATTTCCCTTCACTGCTGTCCTTCAGGGATGTCCTAGAAAGGGGCTGCAGTGCTGCAGCTGTCCACTTTTGGGTGGTGCCTGCATATTGTGCAGACCGTCTGTGACCAGGCCCTAGTCTTCTTTTCCTCGGCCAACTGACCATAGGGAACTCCCTTTGAGGCTATCGGTGCAGGCTCGGGGACAGAAGGGCAGGTGGCAGGAGTGGAGACCATGGACATTTGAGCCACTTTCTCATGTAACTTTTGCCTCCAGGACCTGCTGGAGCCTGATCACGTATATACCACTTGTGTTTGATGATGGAATGCTGTTGTGCATGACCCACTTTATGGTTAGATAGGTCAGAAAGCACCCAGCTCATGATAGGCAGTTCAGCTCATATGGTACTTGATGACCCATGGCCAAATGTCCAATTTCCACCTTAGCCCATTAACAGGCCAAGAGCTGTTGCTCAAAAGGGGGGTAGTTATCTGCAGAAGATGGCAGGGCCTTGCTCCAAAATAGAGGCCTCCACTGTGATTCACCTATGGGGGTCTGCCAAAGGCTCCAAATAGCATCCCTATTTGCCAATAACACCTCAGGCACCATTGGATCTACTGGGTCATATGGTCCAAGTGACAGAGCAGCTTGCACAGCAGCCTAGAACTGTTGCAGAGCATTCTCTTTTTGTGGACCCCACTCGAAACTGGCAGCCTTTCAGTTCACACAAATGAGGAATATATTGCCTTCAGAATCCAAATAGGGCTACTAGGCATTGTGCTAAAGATGCACAATGGTTGTAGAAGGGGCCAAATCCAGCAACTTATCCTTCACTTTAGAAGGAATACCTCAAAAAGCCCCACATCACTGGACCCCTTGAAATTTTACTGAGGTAGAAGGTCCTTCAATTTTAGTCGGATTTATTTTTTTTTCCTCTGTCATGGAAATGTCTCACCAGTCAGTCCAGTGTGTTTGCTACTTCTTGCTCATTGGATCTAATCAGCATAATGTTACCAATGTAATGGACCAGTGTGATATCTTGTGGAAGCAATAGGTGATCAAGGTCTCTTGGAATAAGATTATGACATAAAGCGGGAGAGTCGATATAACCCTGAGGCAGGACAGTAAAGGTATATTGCTGGTCTTGCCAGCTGAAGGCAAATTGCTTCTGGTGAGCCTTATGGACAGGAATGGAGAAAAAGGCATTTGCCAAGTCAATGTCTGCATACCAGGTACCAGGAGATATGTTAATTTGCTCAAGCAATGAAACCACATCTGGTACAGCAGCTGTAATTGGAGTCACCACATAGTTAAGCTTATGATAATCCACAGGCATTCTCCAAGACCCATCTGTCTTCTGCACAGGCCAAATGGGAGAATTGAATGGGGATGTGGTGGGAATCACCACCCCTGCATCTTTCAAGTCCTTGATGGTGGGACTCATCTACACAGTCCCTTTAGGGATGCAATATTGTTTTTGATTTACTAGGTTGAGGCAGCTCTAATGGCTTCCATTTGGCCTTTTCCACCATCATCACCCTCACTCTACCAGTATGGAGTCAATGTGGGCGTTCTGCCAGCTGCTAAGTATGTCTATGCCAATTATGCATTCTGGCACTGGGGAAATTACCACAGGATGATTCTAGGGACCCACTGGACCCACTGTAAGTCAAACCTGAGCTAAAAGTTTATTAATTGCTTGACCCCCTATAAGCCCCTACTTAACTGGAGGAACACAATGACATTTTGGGTCCCCTGGAATCAAAGTCAGCTCAGAGCCAGTGTCCAGTAGTCCCTGAAATGTCTGATCATTTTCTTTTCCCCAGTGCACATGTACCCTGGTAAAATGCTGGAGGTCTTCTGGGGAAGGATAGGAGAAAGATTAAGGGCATAAATTGTTGGTTGTGCAGTGGGGTCCTTCCTCAAGGGGACCTGGCCTCCCCTTCATTCAAGGGGTTCTGGGTCTGTAAACTGGCTCAAGTCTGGAAATTGATTGAGGGGTTGTGATTCTCTGTTTTTATAATTCAAATTAGTCTTTTGTCCATTTGACCTGGAAGTTTTCTGCTTATATAAATTAAGTAGGAATGCAGGGCCAGGAACTGCGGCTCACATCTGTAATCTCAGCACTTTGGGAGGCTCAGTTGGGCAGATCACCTGAGGTCAGGAGTTTGAAGCCAGCCTAGCCAACATGGTGAAACCCCATCTCTATTAAAAATACAAAAACATTGAACAATGAGAACACATGGACACGGGAAGGGGAACATCACACACTGGGACCTGTTGTGGGGTGGGGGGAGGGGGGAGGAATAGCATTAGGAGATACACCTAATGTTAAATGACAAGTTGATGGGTGCAGCACACCAACATGGCACATGTATACATATGTAACTAACCTGCACATTGTGCACATGTACCCTAAAACTTAAAGTATAATAAAAAAATAGAAAAGAAAAAAATACAAAAAAAAAAGTGGTTGTGGTTTGTGCACCTGTAGTCCCAGCTACTCAGGAGGCTGGGGCAGGCGAATTGCTTGAACCTTGGAGGCAGAGGCTGCAGTGAGCCCAGATCACACCACTGCACTCCAGGCTGGGTGACACACTGAGACTCCATCTCAAAAAAGAAATGCAGTAGGATTCCTATCAATTTCACTTCTAGGAACACCATGATTAATTAACCAATGCCGTAGTCTGACACGAGTCAGACTATTCCGATTGCTGCTTTGCCTGTGCTGTCCATTACAGTAGCTACACCCACCTTACCTTTGAAGGTTGACTGCCACCAATTGGCCCCTGCCACCTCTGGATTCAATTATTCCCATTGTATTTAAATTTTATAGTTCAGTGACTAGTTCCCAGTGTTAGATCTGACATAAGGAAAAGAGCAATTACAGGTCTCCTCAAAAATGCAGGTGCTGCTCTCACAAATCTATTTCGCAAAGCATTGGTTAAGAGTGTATCTTCTAGACCCTCCCAGCTGGGATGAGTAGGTCTAAAGTGACTGATTCACTCCACCATCCCAATCTCCCTAAGCCTTTGGATCCCTTCCTCTACATTAAATCAAGGGAGATAAGGCATTTCCAGCTCACTCACAGTGGGCCATCTTTTAATCCATATGACAGCTAACCAAGAAAATAAACTATTAGAACCTTTTTAAACCCCCCATGCTGCAATGTTAAATGCAGAGTCTCTACTTAGTGACCCCAAATCAATACATTTAGCCTGATCCAACTCTATTTTTCTTCCACCATTATCTCACACCCTTAATATCCATTCCCATGCCTGTTCTCCAGTTTCCTGCTTATATAAGTTAGAAAACTCAAACAGTTCTTTTTGCATGTAGCACACCTCCTCATGGGTCAGACTCTGAACCTCACCTCTAGGGGCCCTCCAGGACTTTAGTCTAGTTATAGGCCTAGAAGCAAACAGGGGTGTTGGGGGGTGGTTTCTGAGGAGAATCAACATTATCTTGCCTGGCAACTGCCACAGGGAAGGCCATCACTGTTGCTTCAGGCAGCCCAGGGTTTATCTCCTCATACAAAGGTGGAAAGGCTGATGGCAACATGGGTTAGGGAGAGGATGTTGCTGCTACTGGGGATGGGGAAGCCGTTTCTTCTGGTAAAAAAGGTTAATCAGAGTTCACAAACTCAGTGTCCCCAGCTTCATCAGGGTCCTCCCACATGTCCCCATTCCAAGTTTCAGGGTCCCATTCTTTTCCAATCAATGCCCTCACTTTAAAGTAGACACCTGGTGAGGCTGTACGTGCATCTTTCATTGCAGGTCAGCCACTCACATGATAAGAGCTTGTGTCTGTTTCCCCACAATTTCAGCTGTTTCTCTACAGCAGATAAGACTCTCACTCAGGGCAATCTTAGTAGATTTAAGACTCATATCTCAAGTATCTGCTTCTGAAGCTAGCAGTTAGAATCTCTGAATTCATCATTTTCTTTCATCACTTTGTTGAGTGAACTTAGGAGCAACCAACCAACTTTTCTTCTTCATTATGTTCCTTGGTTCTCCACATATATTCAAAGGCATTATGTATAGAGTAACTAAACTCCTTGTCTCTCATGAGTGGTGATTCAGGCATGTCAAATGCATTTATTTTGCATAACTCTCTAAACAGTTCATACCAAGGACTATCAGTGTTCTCCATACTATTAGAAGTAGAGTCCTTAGCATTTTTGGGTCTAATCATATTAAGCAGCCAACTCCAGAAACCCCAAAACCAATGAAAAAACTCCATCCTTAATATTCTGTTTCTCTAGAACCACTCTTGGTACCAAAATCTGTATTATTCAGGGTTCTCTAGAGGGACAGAATTAATAGTATACATAAACTCCTATATATATAAGAGTTTACTAAGTAGTATTAACTCACATGATCACAAGGTCCTACAATAGGTCATCTGCAAGCTGAGGAGCAAGGAAGCCAGTCTGAGTCCCAAAGCTGAAGAACCTGGAGTCCAATGTTCAAGTACAGGAAGCATCCAGCACAGGAGAAAGATGTAGGCTGGGAGGCTAAGCCAGTCTAGCCTTTTCACATTTTTCTGCCTGCTTTATATTTTGGCCATGGAGGTAGCTGATTTGATGGTACCCACCCAAGTTAAGGGTGGGTGTACCTTTCCCAGTCCACTGACTCAAATGTTAATCTCCTTTGGCAACACCCTCGAAGACACACCCAGGATCAATACTTTGCATCCTTCAATCCAATCAAGTTGACACTCATTATTAACCATCACAGTAAGCATTTTTTACAATATGTTTAGTATGTGCTAGGCACCATGCTGAGTACTTCACATGCATTGACTCAGTAATCTACAAAAAGTATTGTTAGCTAGAACTTACAGTTGAGGAATTTGAGGCATAGATAATTTGATAATTTAGGAAAGTTTTCCAAAGTTACAAAGGCAGTAAGTGGCAGAATCAGTATTCCAACTCCTGCAACTTCAGTTTATAGTCCTTATGTTTAACCTCTGCACGACACTGTTTCTTTTCTAGTCGATCAAATATGTTCATTTTTAACATTTTTTTACTAATTATTACCTCTATGCAGATATATGTACAAATTCCCTCTATTCCTGTCTTTCCTCACCCACCTCCCAGACTTACGCTTCTCAGCCAAGCTGCATCTTTCTCCACATCACTCAAGATTCACTTTTCATTTTTTTCAAAGATGGTGGATTAGAGGCTTTTAGCATTTTTCAGCCACCTGGAAACAGAAAAATAGTGCATCAAGATCAACTCTGTGAGCTTTCATTCAAGAAAAAAAAAATAGTAATCCGCTGGAATCATGAAGGACATCCTAGATCTTAGGGAGAAGAATATGGACAAACAACCTCCATGGCAGTGTCTAGCTGATAAAAAGAGTGTGTTGAGGCACAACCATCCTCACCCCACACCAAGGCAGATCTTCAGGCATTCAGGGCATCTGTTTATCCAGTTAACAGCCTGAGGCACCCCTCTCATCCTGTGCAGAGAATTTGGTGTAGTGTAGGAGCCCCCTACACTTCATGCCCAGGAAAATCTCCACACATCTGACGTACCCATTCTCCTGGATTTTGAGTTTAGGCTACCTTCACTTCCCATGCAGAGCAATTGGGGCCAAGGAGTTTTCCTAGCTTTATGCCTAGGCACATCTCTGGGTGCTTGGTGGCCACCCGCTGGATTCTCCTTCAGTACTAGTGCTTGTGACTTCCATCGGGGACCTATAGATGGTTCTGTCTGGTTCAGCCCCATCCATCTTGCCCCCACCCCTGGGCTGAGCAGGGTGCTCAGACCACTGTGCACTCCAGGATCAGCCCATTGCCTGAGGTAACAGAGAACTTCTTCCAATAAAGAAGGATCAAGTATGTACCCAACCCTATTGGCTGCAGCCAACTCTTACCTATAAGAATAATCTATGACCTCTAGGTCAAACTGCATAGCCCAATATAAAACTTGCTAATAGAGGTTTATAGGGCTATAGAAACAAAGCCAAAAGACCGTATCCAGAATTCTCTCCAGTTACACCCCCTAGGGAAGTGGGGAAAAAGAAAGAAAAAAATATTATATGGGAAAAAAGAAAGAAAAAACATCTTGTCCATATGAAAATAATTACAAAAATTAGAAGTGCCAGCATCTCCAGATGACAAGAAATCAGTGTAAGAATTCCAGCATCACAAAAAATCTGAATGTTGTGATACCACCAAAGGATCACACTAACTAGCCAATGATAATCCATAACCAAAATAGAAACTCAGAAATGACAGATAAAGAATTCAAAGCATGGATTGCAAGGAAGCACAACAAGATCCAAGACGAGGTTGAAAATCAACACAAAGAAACTTCTAAAGCAATCCAGAAAATGAAAAAAGGGATAAACATCTTAAAAAGAAATTAGTCAGAGCTTCTGGAATTGAAAAACTTACTTAAGGAATTTCAAAATACAACTGAAAGCTTTATCAATAAACTGGACCAAGCAGAATAAATAATTTCAAAGTTTAAGATTGATCTTTTAAACTAACACAGACAGAAATTTAAAAATGAGCAAAATCTTCAAGTAATATAAAATTATGTAAAGTAGCCAAATGTATGAATTATTGACATTCCTGAGAGACAAGGAGAAAAAGTAAACAACATGGAAACATATTTGAAGGAATAGTTCTAGAAAATATCCGTATTTTTGCCAGAGAGATAAACATCCAGATACAAGAAATCCAGAGAACACTTGCTAGATACTTTACAAAATGAGCATAACAAAGGCATATGGTCACCAGACTGTCTGAGGTCAATGGTAAAAAAAAAAATCTTAAAGACAGCTAGAAAAAAATGGTCAGATGACTTTTAAAGGGAAACTCTATTAGGCTAACACTGGACTTCTCAGCAGAAACCTTATAAGCTGAGAGAGATTGGGGGCCTATTTTTGGCATTCTTAAAGTAATTCCAACCATGAATTTTATATTCCATCAAACTAAGCTTTGTCAGCAAAAAGAAATAAAATCTTTTCTAGACAAGTAAATGCTAAGGAAATTAATTATTTTTAAACCAATAAACCAGCCTTACGAGTGATTTTTTTTTTTTTTTTTCTGAGACGGAGTCTTGCTCTGTCACCCAGGGTGGAGTGCAGTGGGACGATCCCAGCTAACTGCAATCTCCACCTCCTGAGTTCAAGCGATTCTCCTGCCTCAGCCTCCTGAGTAGCTGGACTATAGGTGCCTGCCACCATGCCCGGCTAATTTTTGTATTTTTAGTAGAGATGGGGTGAGTTCTAAGAATGCCACCACAAGACTCACCTAAGCACATAGCTCACAAACTCTATAAAGCAACCACACAGTAGAAAGTACAAAGCAACCAACTAACAACTTCATGATAGGATTCAAACCTCATATATCAATATTAACTATGAATGTAAATGGTCTGAATGCCCCACTTAAAAGAGATAGAATGGCAAATTGAATTTTAAAAAGACCCATCCATCTGCTGTCAAGAGACCGATTTCAGGTTCTGTTCCAAGATGGCCAAATAGGAACAGCTCGGTCTGCAGCTCCCAGCGTGATCAATGCAGAAGACAGGTGATTTCTGCATTTCCCACTGAGGGACCTGGTTCATCTCACTGGGACTGGTCAGAAAGTGGGTGCAGCCCATGGAGGGTGAGCCGAGGTGGGGTGGGGCATTGCCTCACCTGGGAAGCACAAGGGGTCAGGGGAGTTTCCTTTCCTAGCTAAGGGAAGCTGTGACAGACTGTACTGGGAAAATCAGGACACTGCCACCTAAACACCATGTTTTTCCAATGGTCTTAGCATACAGCACACCAGGAGATTATATCCCACACATGGCTCAGTGGGTCCCACAACCAAAGTGCCTTGCTCACTGCTAGTCCGAGATCGAACTGTGAGGCAGCAAGCCTGGCTGGGGGAGGGGTATCCGCCATTGCTGAGGCTTGCCTAGGTAAACAAAGCACCAGGAAGCTCGAAGTGGGTGGAGCCCATCGCAACTCAACGAGGCCCGCCTGCCTCTGTAGACTCCACCTCTGGGGGCAGGGCATAGCTGAATAAAAGGCAGAAGAAACTTCTACAGACTTAAACGTCCCTGTCTGACAGCTCTGAAGAGAGTAGTGGTTCTCCCAGCAAGGTGTTTGAGCTCTGAGAATGGACAGACTGCCCCCTCAAGTGGGTCCCTGACCCCCATGTAGCCTAACTGGGAGACACCTCCCAGTAGAGGCCAACTGAAACTTCATACAGCCAGGTGCCCCTCTGAGATGAAGCTTCCAGAGGAAGGATCAGGCAGCAATATTTGCTGTCCTGCAATATTTGCTGTTCTGCAGCCTATGCTGGTGATACCCAGGCAAACAGGGTCTGGAGAGGACCTCCAGCAAACTCCAACAGAACTGGAGCTGAGGGACCTGACTGTTAGAAGGAAAACTAATGAACAGAAAGGAATTGCGTCAACATCAACAAAAAGGATATCCACACCAAAACCTCATCCGTAGGTCACCATCATCAAAGACCAAAGGTAGATAAAACCACAAAGATGGGGAGAAACCAGAGCAGAAAAGCTGAAAATTCTAAAAACCAGAGCACCCCTTCTCCTCCAAAGGATTGCAGCTCCTTGCCAGCAATGGAACAAAGCAGGATGGAGAATGACTTTGATGAGTTGACAGAAGTAGGCTTCAGAAAGTCGGTAATAACAAACTTCTCCGAGATAAAAGAGGATGTTCAAACCCATCATAAGGAAGCTGAAAACCTTGAAAAAAGATTAGATGAATGGCTAACTAGAATAAACACTGTAGAGAAGAACTTAAATGACCTGATGGAGCTGGAAACCATGGCACGAGAACTATGTGAAACATGTACAAGCTTCAGTAGCTGATTTGATCAAATGGAAGAAAGGGTATCAGTGATTGAAGGTCAAATTAATGAAATGAAGAGAAGTTTAGAGAAAAAAGAGTAAAAAGAAATGAACAAAGCCTCCAAGATATATAAGACTATGTGAAAAGACCAAATCTACGTCTGATTGGTGTACCTGAAAGTGATGGGGAGAATGGAACCAAGCTGGAAAATGCTCTTCAGGATATTATCCAGGAGAACGTCCCCAACTTAGCAAGGCAGGCCAACATTCAAAACCAGGAAATACAGAGAACATCACAAAGATACTCCTCGAGAACAGCAACCCCAAGACACATAATTATCAGATTCACCAAAGTTGAAATGAAGGAAAAAATGCTAAGGGCAGCCAGAGAGAAAGATTGGGTTAACCACAAACAGAAGCCCATCAGACTAACAGTGGATCTATTGGCAGAAACCCTACAAGCCAGAAGAGAGTGGGAGCCAATATTCAACATTCTTAAAGAAAAGAATTTTCAACCCAGAATTTCATCTCCAGCCAAATTAAGCTTCATGAGTGAAGAAGAAATAAAATTCTTTACAGACAAGCAAATGCTAAGAGATTTTGTCACCACCAGGCCTGCCTTACAAGAGCTCCTGAAGAAAGCACTAAACATGGAAAGAAACAACCGGTACCAGCCACTGCAAAAACATGCCAAATTGTACAGACCATTGATGCTAGGAAGAAACTGCATCAACAAATGGGCAAAATAACCAGCTAACATCATAATGACAGGATCAAATTCACACATAACAATCTTAACCTTAAATATAAATGGAAAGCCCTAATTAAAAGACACAGACTGGAAATTGGATAAAGAGTCAAGACCCATCAATGTGCTGTATTCAGGAGACCCATCTCACGTGCAGAGCCACACATAGGCTCAAAATAAAGGGATGGAGGAAGATCTACCAAGCAAATGGAAAACAAAAAAAAAGCAGGGTTTGCAATCCCAGTCTCTGATAAGACAGACCTTAAACCAACAAAGGTCAAAAGAGACAAAGAGGCCATTACATAATGGTAAAGGGATCAATTCAACAAGAAGAGCTAACTATCCTAAACATATATGCACCCAATACAGGAGCACTCAGATTCACAAAGCAAGTCCTTAGAGACCTAAAAAGAGACTTAGACTCCCACACAATAATAATGGGAGACTTTAACACCCAGCTATCAATATTAGACAGATCAACAAGACAGAAGGTTAACAAGGATATCCAGGACTTGAACTCAGCTCTGCACCAAGCTGACCTAATAGACATCTGCAGTACTCTCCACCCCAAATCAACAGAATATACATTCTTTTCAGCACCACATTGCACTTATTCCACAATTGACCACATAGTTGGAAGTAAAGCACTCCTCAGCAAATGTAACAGAACAGAAATCATAACAAACTGTCTCTCAGACCACAGTGCAATCAAATTAGAACTCAGGATTAAGACACTCACTCTAAACCACACAACTACATGGAAACTGAACAACCTGCTTCTGAATGATTACTGGGTAGACAATGAAATGAAGACAGAAATAAAAATGTTCTTTGAAACCAATGAGAATGAAGACACAACATACCAGAATCTCTGGGATACATTTAAAGCAGTGTGTAGAGGGAAATTTATAGCACTAAATGCCCCCAAGAGAAAGCAGGAAAGATCTAAAATTGACACCCTAATATCACAATTAAAAGAACTATAGAAGAAAGAGCAAACACATTCAAAAGCTACCAGAAGGCAAGAAATACCTAAGATCAGAGCAGAACTGAAGGAGATACAGATACAAAAAAACCCTTCAAAAAATCCATGAATCCAGGAGCTGTTTTTTTGAAAAGATCAACAAAATTGATAGACTGCTAGCAAGACTAATAAAGAAGAAAAGAGAGAAGAATCAAATAGATGCAATAAAAAATCATAAAAGGGATATGACCACCGATCGTACAGAAATACAAACTACCATCAGAAAATAATATAAACAACTCATTGCAAATAAACTAGAAAATCTAGAAGAAATGGATAAATTCCTGGACATATACACCCTCCCAAGTCTAAACCAGGAAGAAGTTGAATTGCTGAATAGACCCAAAACAGGCTCTGAAATTGAGGCAAGAATTAATAGCCTACCAACTAAAACAAAGTCCAGGACCAGATGGATTCACAGCCGAATTCTACCAGACGTACAAAGAGGAGCTGGTACCATTCCTTCTGAAACTACTCCAATCAATAGAAAAAGAGGGAATCCTCCCTAACTCATTTTATGAGGCCAGTATCATCCTGATACCAAAGCCTGGTAGAGATACAACAAAAAAAGAGAATTTTAGACCAATATCCCTGATGAACATCGATGTGAAAATCCTCAATAAAATATTGGCAAACCAAATCCAGCAGCACATCAAAAAGCTTATCCACCAAGATCAAGTTGTCTTCATCCCAGGGATGCAAGGCTGGTTCAACATACACAAATCAATAAACATAATACATAATACATAAACAGAACCAAAGATAAAAACCACATGATTATCAAAATAGATGCAGAACAGGCCTTTGGCAAAATTCAACAGCCCTTCAGGCTAAAAACTCTCTATAAACTAGGTATTGATGGAACGTATCTCAAAATAATAAGAGCTATTTATGACAAACCCACAGCCAGTATCATACTGAATGGGGAAAAACTGGAAGCATTCCCTTTGAAAACTGGCACAAGACAGGGATGCCCTCTCTCACCACTCCTATTCAACATAGTGTTGGAAGTTCTGGCCAGGACAATCAGGCAAGAGAAAGAAATAAAGGGCATTCAATTAGGAAAAGAGGAAGTCAAATTGTCCCTGTTTGCAGATGACATGATTCTATATTAGAAAACCCCATCATCTCAGCCCAAAATCTCCTTAAGCTGATAGGCAACTTCAGCAAAGTCTCAGGATACAAAATCAATGTACAAAAATCACAAGCATTCTTATACACCAATAACAGACAAACAGAGAGCCAAATCATGAGTGAACTCCCATTCACAATTGCTACAAAGAGAATAAAATACCTAGGAATCCAACTTACAAGGGATGTGAAGGACCTCTTCAAGGAGAACTACAAAACATTGCTCAACAAAATAAAAGAGGACACAAACAAATGGAAGAACATTCCCTGCTCATGGGTTGGAAGAATCAATATCGTTAAAATGGCCATACTGCCCAAGGTAATTTATAGATTCAATGCCATCCCCATCAAGCTACCAATGCCTTTCTTCACAGATTTGGAAAAAACTACTTTAAAGTTCATATGGAACCAAAAAAGAGCCTGCCTTGCCAAGACAATCCTAAGCCAAAAGAACAAAGCTGGAGGCATCACGCTACCTGACTTCAAACTATACTACAAGGCTACAGTAACCAAAACAGCATGGTACTGGTACCAAAACAGAGACATAGACCAATGGAACAGAACAGAGGCCTCAGAAATAACACCACACATCTACAACTATCTGATCGTTGACAAAGCTGACAAAAACAAGAAATGGGGAAAGGATTCCCTATTTAATAAATGGTGCTGGGAAAACTGGCTAGCCATATGTAGAAAGCTGAAACTGGATCCCTTCCTTACACCTTATACAAAAATTAATTCAAGATGGATTAAAGACTGAAATGTTAGACCTAAAACCATAAAAACCCTAGAAGAAAACCTAGGCAATACCATTCAGGACATAGGCATGGGCAAGGACTTCATGACTAAAACACCAAAAGCAATTGCAACAAAAGCCAAAATAGACAAATGGGATCTAATTAAACTAAAGAGCTTCTGCACAGTGAAAGAAACTACCATCAGAGTGAACAGGCAGCCTACAGAATGGGAGAAAATTTTTGCAATCTACCCATCTGACAAAGGGTTAATATCCAGAATCTACAAAGAACTTAAACAAATTTGCAAGACAAAAATCAAACAACCCCATCAAAAAGTGGGCAAAGAATATGAACAGACATTTTGAAAAGAATACATTTATGCAGCCAACAGACACATGAAAAAATGCTCATCATCACTGGTCATCAGAGAAATGCAAATCAAAACCGCAATGTGATGCCATCTCATACCAGTTAGAATGGCAATCATTAAAAATTCAGGAAACAACAGGTGCTGGAGAGGATGTGGAGAAATAGGAATGCTTTTACACTGTTGGTGGGAATGTAAACTAGTTCAACCATTGTGGAAGACAGAGTGGTGATGCCTCAAGGAATCTAGAACCAGAAATACCATTTGACCCAGCCATCCCATTATTGGGTATGTACTCAAAGGATTATAAATCATGCTACTATAAAGACACATGCACACGTATGTTTATTGCAGCACTATTCACAATAGCAAAGACTTGGAACCAACCCAAAAATCCATCAATGATTGACTGGATTAAGAAAATATGGCACATATACACCATGGAATACTATGCAGCCATAAAAAAGGATGAGTTCATGTCCTTTGAAGGGACATGGATGAAGCTGGAAACCATCATTCTGAGCAAACTATCACAAGGACAAAAAACCAAACACTGCATGTTCTCACTCATAGGTGGGAATTGAACAACGCGAACACCTGGACACAGGACGGAGAACATCACACACTGGGGCCTGTCGTGGGGTGGGGGGTTGGGGGAGGGATAGCATTAGGAGAAATACCTAATGTAAATGATGAGTTAATGGGTGCAGCAAACAAACATGGCACATGTATACCTATGTAACAAACCTGCACGTTGTGCACATGTATCCTAGAACTTAAAGTATGATAATAATTTAAAAAAAGAGAGACCAATTTCAAGTGTAATGACACCATAGGCTCAAAGTAAAGGGTTGGAGAAGGATCTATCATGCAAATGGAAAATAAAAAAGAGCAAGAGTCACTATTTTTATATCAAATAAAACAGATTTTAACCCCACAATAGTAAAAGGACAAAGAAGGACATTACATAATGATAAAGGTTGAAGCCTCATTCAACAAGAAGACTTAACTATACTAAATATATATGTACTCAACAATGGAGGACCCAGATTCATAAAACATGTTCCTCTAGACCTACAAAAAGACTTAGACCACCCAATAATACAATAACCACACAGTAATAGTAGAGACTTCAACACCTCATTGACAGTGTTAGATCATTGAGGCAGAAAACTAACAAAGAAATTCTGGATTTAAATTTGACACTTGAACAATTGGACCTAATACACCTCCATAGAATACTTCATCAACCACAGAATACACATTTTTCTCATCTGCATACAGAACATTCTCTAGGATTGACCACATGCTTGGCCATAAAGTGAGTCTCAATAAATTTAAAACAATCAAAATCATACCAACCATATTCCTAGACCACAGTGGAATAAAAATAGAAACTAATTTCAAGCAGATCTCTCAAAACCACTTGATTATATGGAAATTAAACAACTTGCTCCTAAATGACTTTTGGATAAACAATGAAATTAAGGCAGAAATTTAAAAAAATTTTGAAGTAAATGAAAACAGAGACACAGCATACCAAAGTCTATGGGATGCAGCAAAAATAGTGTTAAGAGGAAAGTTTATATTGCTAAATGCCTACATCAAAAAGTTAGAAAGATCTCAAATTAAGAATCTGTCATCACACCTAGAGGAGTGAAAGAAACAAGAACAAACAAACCCCAAAGCTAGAAGAAAAAAAGAAATAACTACAATCAGAATAGAATTGAATGACATTGAGACACTGCAAATCTAGAGACTCAATAAAACCAACAGTTGGTGTTTTGAAAGGATACATAAGATTGATAGACCACTAGCCAGATTAACAAAGAAAAAAGAGGTTAGATCCAAATAACCACAATCAGAAACGAAAAAGGTGAAACAGAATACATAAGATCCTCAGAGCTTTTTATGAACACCTCTACACACACCAACTAGAAAATGTAGAGGTAATGGATAAATTCCTGGAAACACACAACCTCCCAAGACTGAATCAGGAAGAAGTTGAAACTCTGAACAGACCAATAGCAAGTTCTGAAATCGAATCAGTCATAAAAGCATACCAAACCAAAAAAGCCCCAGACCAGATGGATTCACAGCCAAATTCTACCAGATGTACAAAGAAGAGCTGAATTAATTCCGCTGAAAATATTCCAAAAAGTCAACAAGGAAGGACTCCTTCCTGACTCATTCTATGAAGCCAGAACCACCCTGCTACCAAAACCCAACAAAGACACAACAAAAAAGAAAACCACAGGCCGATATCCCTTATGAACATAAATGCAAAAATCCTCAACAAAATGCTAGCAAACTGAATCTGGCAACACATCAATAAGGTAATTGACCATAATCAAGAAGGCTTCATTCCTGGGATGCAAGGTTGGTTCAGCATACATATATCAATAAATGGGATTCACCACACAAACAGAATTAAAAACAGAAACCATATAATTATCTCAATTTATGTACAAAAATCTTTTGATAAAATCCAACATCCCCTTATGATAAAAACCTCAACAAACTAGGCATCAAAGATACATACTTCAAAATGATAAGGGCTACCTATGACAAACCCAAACCCAACATCATACTGAACAGGCAGAAACTGGAAGTATACCCCTGAGAATAAGGATGGCCACTCTCACCACTCCTATTCAACATAATATTGAAAGTCCTAGCCAGAGCAATTAGGCAAGAGAAAGAAATAAAAGACATCCAAATAGGAAAAGAAGAAGTCAAATTATCTCTCTTCACTGATGATATAATTCTATACCTGGAAATCCCTGAAGACTCAGCCAAAAGGCTCCTAGAACTGATAAATGACTTCAGCAAAGTTTTAGGATACAAAAATAAATGTACAAAAATCAATAGCATTTCTATATACCAATAAAATTCAAGCTGAGAGCCAAATCAAGAAACACAATCCAATTGACAATAAAATAAAACACATAGAAATACACACACAAAAATACAATACCTAGAAATACATCTAACCAAGGAGGTGAAAGAGCTCTATGAGAACTACATATGAAACACTGCTGAAAGAAATAATGAATGACGCATACAAATAGAAAAACATTTCATGCTCATGGATCAGAAGAATCAATATTGTTAAAATGACTATACTGCCCAGAGCAATCTACAGATTCAACATGATTCCTATCAAACTACCAACATGATTTTTCACAGATTAGAAAAAATTGAAGTCATATGAAACTAAAGAATAGCCTGATTAACCAAAGCAATCCTAAGCAAAAAGAACAAAGCTGAAGTCATCACATTACCTGGCTTCAAACTATACTACAAGGCTGCAATAACCATAATAGCCTGGTACTGGTGCAAAAACAGAAACACAGACCAATAGACAGAATAGAGGACCCAGAAGTAAGCTACATGCCTATAACTATCTGATCTTTGACAAACTGACAAAAATAAGCAGTGGATAAGGGACTCCTTGTTTAATAAATGGTGCAGAGACAGGTGGCTAGGCATATGCAGAAGAATAAAACTGGACACCTACCTCTCACCATATATACCAATTAACTCAAGAAGGATTAAATATTTAAACCTAAGACCTCACCTGTTAGAACCCTAAAAGAAAACCTAGGAAATACCATTGTGGACATCAACCTTCTAAAAGAATTTATGGCTAAGTACCCAAAAGCAATTGCAACAAAACCAAAAATTGACAAGTAAGACCTAATTAAACTAAACAGCTTCTGCACACCAAAATAAACTGTCAACAGAGTAAAGCCAACTTACAGAATGGGAAAAAATATTCACAAACCATGTATCTGACAAAGGTCTAATATCCAGAATCTGTAAGGAACTTTAACAATTCAAAAAGCAAAAACCAAATAACACTATTAAAAGAAATGAGCAAAAGAAATGATTGGACACTTCTCAAAAGAAGACATGCATGTGCCCAACAAACATATTTAAAAATATATAAAAATCGGCCGGGCCCGGCAGATCACGCCTGTAATCCCAGCACTTTGGGGAGGCCGAGGTGGGCAGAATGCATGAGGCCAGAAATTCGAGACCAGCCTAGCCAACTCGGCAAAACCCCATCTCTACTAACAATACAAAAATTAGCTGGCATGGTGGCAGGTGCCTGTAATCCCAGCTACTCAGGAGGCTGAGGCAGGAGAATCACTTGAACCCAGGAGGCAGAGGTTGCAGTGAGCCGAGATCCCGCCATTGTACTCCAGCCTGGGCAAAAGCGCAAGACTCCTTCTCAAAAAAAAAAATCGCTAATCATCAGAGAAATGTAAATAAAACCCACAATGACCTGTCATCTTAATGGCCATCAGTCAGAATGGCTATTATTAAAAATTCAAAAAATAGCAGATGCTGGTGAGGCTGCAGAGAAAAGGGAATGCTTATACGTTGTTGGTGTGAATGTAAATTAGTTCAGCCACTGTGAACAGTAGTTTGGAGATTTCTCAAAGAATTTAAAGCAGAACTACCATTTGACCCAGTAATCCCCTTACTGGGTATATACCTGAAGAAAAATAAATAATTCTACCAAAAAGACACTTGCATTCATATGTTCCTTGCAGTACTATTCACAAGAGTAAGGACATGGAGTCAGCCTAGGTGCTCATCAACAGTGGATTGGATAAAGAAAATGTGCCTATGCACACAAACTAGAAAACCTAGAAGAGATGGATAAATTCCTGGACACATACAGCCTCCCAAGACTGAATCAGGAAGAAATTCATTTCCTGAAGAGACCAATAATGAGCTCTGAAATTGAATCAGTAATAAATAGCCTACCAACCAAAATAAGTGCCCAGGACCGGATGGATTCACAGCCAAATTCCACCAGATGTACAAAAAAGAGCTTGTCCCATTCCTACTGAAACTATTCCAAAAAAATTGAGGAGGAGGCACTCCCCCACAACTCATTCTATGAGGCCAGGATTATCCTGATACAAAAATGGAGTGGGGAGGGATAGCATTAGGAGATATACCTAATGTTAAATGACGAGTTAATGGGTGCAGCACACCAACATGGCACATGTATACATATGTAACTAACCTGCACGTTGTGCACATGTACCCTAAAACTTAAAGTATAATAATAAAAAAAAACCTGGCAGAGGCAATAAAAAAAAGAAAATTTTAGGCCAATATCCCAGATTAACTTTGATGCAAAAATCTTCAACAAAATACCTGAATCAAAATACCACAATCAACTAGGCTTCATCCCCAGGATGCAATGTTGGTTCAACATATGCAAATCAGTAAAAGTGATTCATCACATAAAAAGAACTAAAGACAAAAAAAACATGATTTTCTCAATAGATGCAGAAAAGTCTTCTGATAAAATTCAACATTCCTTCATGTTAAAAACTCTCAATAAACTAGGTATTGAAGGAACATACCTCAAAACAAATCCACAGCCAACATCATACTGAATGAACAAAAGATGAAAGCATTCCCCTTGAAAACCAGCACAAGACGAGGTTGCCCTCTCTCACTACTCCTATTCAACATAGTGTTGGAAGTCCTTGCCAGAGCAATCAGGCAAGAGAAAAATAAAGGGCATCCAAATAGGAAGAGAGGAAGTCAAACTATTCCTGTCTACAGATGACATGATTCTATACTAGAAAACCCCATAGTCTCAGTCCAAAAGCTCCTTCAGCTGACAAACAACTTCAGCAAAGTTTCAGAATACAAAATCAATGTACAAAAATAACCGGCATTTCTATACACCAACAATAGCCAAGGTGAGAGCCAAATCAGGAAGGCAATCCCATTCACAATTGCCACAACAGAAGTAAAATACCTAGGAATATAGCTAACCAAGGAGGATCTGTACAATGAAAATTACAAAACACTGCTCAAAAAGTCAGAGATGACACAAACAAATGGAAAAACATTCCATGCTTGTGGATAGGAAGAATCAATATCATGAAAATGGCTATAGTGCCCAAAGCAATTTTCTATTTTGTTATTCCTATCAAACTACCAATGACATTCTTCACCTAACCAGAAAAAAAGCTATTTTAAAATTCATGTAGAACCAAAAATGAGTCTGAATACCCAAGGCAATCCTAAGCAAAAAAGAACAAAGCTGGAGGCATCATGTTATCCAACTTCAAACTATGCTATAAGGCTATAGTAACAAAAATGCATGGTACTGGTACAAAAACAGGCACATAAACCAATGGAATAGAATAGAGAACCCATAAATAAGGCTGCATGCCTACAACCATCTGCTCTTCAACAATGCTGACAAAAAAAAGCAATGGGGAAAAGATTCCCTATTCAATAAATGGTCCTGGGATCACTGGCTAGCCACGTGCAGAAGATTGAAACCAGACCTTTCCCTTACATCACATAGAAAAAATAACTCAGAATGGATTAAAGACTTAAACATAAAGCCCAAAACTATAAAAGCCCTTGAAGATAACCTAGGCAACACCATCCTGGACATAGGAATGGGCAATGATTTCATGACAGAGATGCCAACAGATATAGCAACAAGAGCAAAAATGGACAAGTGGGCTCTAATTAAACTTAAGAACATCAGTACAGCAAAAGAAACTGTCAACAGAGTAAATAGACAACCTATAGATGGGAGAAGATATTTACAAACTATGCATCTGACAAAAGTCTAATATACAGCATCTGTAAGGAACTTAAACAAATGTACAAGAGAAAAACAACCACATTCAAAAGTGGGCAAAGGAAATGAACAGACACTTCTCAAAAGAAGACATACATGTGGCCAAGTATATGAAAAAAAGCTCATTATCATTGATCATTAGAGAAATGCACATCAAAACCATCTCACACCAGTCAGAATGGCTACTATTAAAAAGTCAAAAAATAGCAGATACTGGTGAGGTTGTGGAGAAAAGGGAACAGTTATACACTGTTGTTGGGAGTGTAAATTAGTTCAGCCATTGTGGAAAGCAGTGTGCAATTCCTCAAAGAGCTAAAAGCAGAACCACCATTTGACCCAGCAATTCCATTACTGGATATATACCCAAAGGAATATAAATACCATAAAAACACATAGATGCAAATATTCACTATAGCACTATTCACAATAGCAAAGACATGAAATCAACCTAAATACTAATCAATGACAGATTGGATAATGAAAATGTGGTACATATACAACGTGGAATACTACGCAGTCATAAAAAAGAATGAGATCGTGTCTTTTCTGGGAACATGGATGGATCTGGAGCCTATTATCCTTAACAAACTAACGAAGGAACAGAAAACTAAATACCACATGTTCTTACTTAAAAGTGGGAGCTAAATGATAAGAATTCATGAATACAAAGAAGGAAACAACAGACACTAAGGTCTCCTTGAGGGTGAAGGGTGGGAGGAGGGAGAAGAGCAGAAAAGGTGACTATTGAGTACTAAACTTAGTAACTGGTGATGAAATAATCCGTATAACAACCTCTCCTGCCCGTCTCATGAGTTTATCCATATAACAAACCTGCACATGTACCCCTGAACCTAAAATAAAAGTTTAAAAAAAGAACAGTTTGGCACAAATTATACTGCAGCTAAAATTGTATTTGGTAGAGTTTGTCCAACATTTAATGGGTGAATATAATTAACCCTATCTGGTAGGTCAATTCTTTCATCTACCTATGAGAATACTCTTAAGGTAATCCACAATAATTGACCATTTTGTTTCCATTCTTCTAAAAACTAAAAATAAAAGTCAAATGGCCTTTAAAAATGTGTTACATATGCACTGTGGAATGCTACAGAGCCATAAAAAGGAACAAAATCATGTTCTTTCCAGCAATATGGATGCAGCTGAAGGCTATTATCCTAACCAAATTAACCCGGGAGTAGAAAACCAAATACATTGTGTTCTCACTTACAAGTGGGAGCTAAATATTGGTCATTCATAAACATAAAGATGGGAACAATAGACACTGGGGACAACTAGAAGGGGGAGAAAGAACAAGGGGCAAAGGCTAAAAAACTACCTATCACGTATATGCTGACTACCTTGGTGATGGGATCATTTGTACCACAAACCATCTCACACAAAATACCCATGTAACAAACCTGTACATGTATGCTCTGAATCTAAAATAAAAATTGAAACAAATTTTAAAAAGAATATATATAGGTAAGTATGAATGACAAGTGTCAAAATGGACTGCAACTGTCAAAAACAATTCTGGCAAAATCCATGTGGTAGGGAGTGATTTGGGTGGAGAACAACATGGAGCTGATATAGTAAAATTAAATAATAATTATCTCACTGGAATAAATTGAGAATTGAGGAGATAATGAAATCAGTTTTGGAACTGTGCAAAACTTCATCTGGTGAAGGATTGAAATCTGAGTCTCAATAAACAAAGACACAGCAGTCATAATATAATTTACAGAAAGAAAACACAAACAGCAAACAAATATAGCTTTAAAATGTTTAGCCTCTCTAGTGGTTTAAGAAATAAGAATCCAAATGATCTTAAGTTACTATTTGCTACTTATTAAAATAAAAACAATAAATATATAAAAACAAATATATTTATACATATTTATAAAAATATATTAAAAATATATACAAATATATATAAAAATTGTGTATATATAAGTAAACATATATGTATATATTATTTATATATGTATGTATATATTATATATAGTGTACATGTATGTATGTGTGTGTATATATATATTATGTGCATATATATATATACGATGTAGTGCTGACAAGCCAGAGGGAAAATGGTATACTCAATTCCCATTACTCACAATAAAAACAGTTACAGTTCAAAAACCAAATGAAAAGAAGGAAGGAAAGAAGGAAGGAAGGAAGGAAGGGATTGGTTCACTTTCCCGGGAAGGAGGGAAGGAAGGAAAGAAGGAAGGAAGGAAGGAAGGAAGGAAGGAAGGAAGGAAGGAAGGAAGGAAGGAAGGAAGGAAAGGAGGGAGGGAGGGAGGGAGGGAGGGAGGGAGGGAAGTGATTGGTTCAGTTTCCCAGGAAGTAACCTCTGGTTGAGAGTGGGCCCCACAGCACTTCTATGCTTATCTACACCTTACATTGCTTATCTTGTTACTCTTTAGTGCTATTAAGTAATGATCTGTGTGTGCTTTGTATTCCCTGAGTAGATGGCAATCTCTTCAAAGTAAAGCTCTGTGCTCTCCATTTATTCCACAATTCCTTCTCCAACTCAATTGTGACCATGATTAACTTTGTTCACTCAAAACATTCAATTACATGCTTGCTGAATAATAGGGGAAAATATTGTGTTATTTCCACTCAGATTTGGGAGGTAAAAGCCAAGGTAATATGGTAGAAGAAGAATTTGCTACATGTAAGAGTTTTGTATGGCAGAATTGGCATTTTCAAGTCAGAGAAAAAACAACTGATTACCTATGAGGAAAAAAAGTATGCTCAATCTTGATACCATATTCAAAAATAAATTACAGATAAAGTCCTAAATTTTTTTTAAAGTTTAAAACAATGTATTTATTTCCTTGGGCTTGGAAGAAAAATTAAAGTAGAAAAATGATGAATTAGACCACACCAAAATAAAAAGCTACTGTATGAAAAAAAGACATTTTAAAAGATGCTAAAAATCCAGGGACAGGCTTTAAGAAAGTATTTGTCATATATGACAGGCAATTATTATCCAGGATATATAAAAGTATGAATAGGTAAGAAACATTCTAGTTGGTCAGAATGTAAAATTGTGCAGGCACTATGAAAAACAGTGTGAAGTTTCCTTAAAAAATTAAAAATAGAATTACCATATGACTCAGCAATCCCACTTCTGCATATACATCCAAAAGTATTGAAAATAAGATCTCAAAGACATATTTGCACACCCATGTCCATTGTAATATTATTCACAATAGCCAAGAGGTAGAAGTAACCTAAATGTGCACAGATGAGTTAATGGATAAAGAAAATGTGGTATATACATACATATAATGGAATGTTATTCAGCCTTATAAAAGGACATCCTGTCATATGCTACAACATGGATAAACCTTGAGGACATTATGCAAAGTGCAATAGGCCAGTCACAAAAATGATAAACCTTGAGGACATTATGGAAAGTGAAATAGGCCAGTCACAAAAAGACAAACACTGCATGATTCTATTTATATAAGGTATGAAAAGTAACCAAATTCATAGAAGCAAAAAGTAGAATGGTGGTTGCCAGGGGCTGGAGATAGAAGAAAGAAAGGGGGAATTGTTCAATGGGTATAGAGTTTCAGCTTTGCAAGATGAAAAAGTTCTGGAGATCTGTTGCACAATAAGGTGCTTATGGTTAACACTACTGTACACATAAAAAGTGGTTAAGATGGTAATCTTTATACTATGTGGTTTTTTCCCACAATTAATAATCAGAGCTTTAAATCTCAGTTTGAGAGAAGTTTTCTATGTAAATACTCCAGGAAGAAGATAACATTTGGCTTATATTCAGTCGTAGATATAAATGCGTGATATAAGACCTTATTCTAATAGCAGGTTTTCATAGCAGGAAGAATGGCTGAGAGCTTGAAACTTTGGGGCTTCTGAAGGGGCAAGTGGGTGCAAGAGTGATCCAAATGTGTAAGCAAATGCTGTTGCCGGTGCAGTAGGTCAGCAATGTCTGTAATGGTGAGGAGGGCACATTTAGGCATTCACCAATATGTTTGATTGGTAGATCATGTTCCTACAAAATTTTCCAAGGAATGAAGGAATGTTTGGAAAATGATTTTTTTTTTTTGAGTCAGGGTCTTTCTCTGTCACCCAGGCTGGAGTGCAGTGCACTATCATAGCTCACTGCAGCCTCCAATTCCAGGGCTCAAGCAATACTCCAGCCTCATTCAACCTCCTGAGTAGCTGGGACTATTGGCATGCACCACAATGCCTGGCTAATTTTTCTTTATTTTTAGTAGAGACGAGGTCTTGCTATGTTAACCCAAGCTGATCTCAAACCCCTGAGCTCAAGTGATCTGCCCACCTAGGCCTTCCAAAGTGCTGGGATTACAGGCATAAGCCACCATGCCTGACCTTGACATGCTTTTTTTTTATTTTTTAAATATCTCTAGTCACCTAATTTGCTGAAAGCTAAATTTAAAAAAACTCTGCGTTGCATGATAATACTTAATTCTGTGCTAAGTGCGTTTCCCATTGCAGAGTAGTACCACCATACTTAGTATTAAGGAGATTATAACATATCAAAATTTTAAATGAACTAAGAAAGCATGAAAATTATGGAATACTAATGCCATCTTTTGATGGAAGAACCTGGAAACAAAAACAGGACACTCAAATCAATTTTTCTTAAACTATAACTTTATTTGGGCAAGAGAATTTTCCCTAAATAAAGCTATCATTTTTAAACACCTTAGGACAAACTATTTTTTCAAATAAAATTTTATGTCAGAATAGTCTTGTGTAAGTGGTTTTCTATTCTCCCATCTTCTCATTATTACGAATATTTGCTTTATTGATATATATATCTCAGTTACTCCCTGTGACTAAACTGCTCTCTCTGCTTGAAATCAGAAGACTTATTTTAGGTAATTTAAAATTTATATTAGCACAGTGTCTATACCAAATTGGTAATGCAGATTTATGTAAAAAAAGAGGAAAAGAAACATTCTAACAGAAAAAATGGTCAAAGAATATAAACAAGCACTTTCAATGATTAAACAGTGGCTGTAAATATATTGCTAAATATGTAATCAGCTTTATGCAAATTAAAACAATGAGATACTGTATCTAGCCATCATAAAGGCAAATATTAAATAATAATAATATTGAGGAGTTATAAAATTGTGTGAAAATAACAACTCTTATATACTGCTGGTAAACGAATAAATTGATGCATTTATTTTTTTAGAATAATTTGGCAGTTTCTATTAAGTTAAAGATGTGCATGCTATATGATCCAGCTGGAGAAACACTTGCATATGCATATGTGGAGATGTGTCATGATCTGCATAACTCCATGTAGTATTTTTGTAATAATAAAAAAATTATGAATAATGAATGATCATTACTTGAGGAATAGTTAAATAAAATGTGATAAATTTATACACTAGAATTACAGTAGTTAAAGCAATAAATTACACCTGTATACTATAAATGGACTTAAATCTCCAAAAATTACTACTGAATAAGAAAAAGAAAGTTATAAAATAGATACAGTATATAAATTTATGTTATAAAATATCATAAAACAGAAACCAGTCTTTTGCAGCAATGTAAATGGAACTGGAGGTCATTATCCTCAGTGAAATAACCCAGAAACAAAGTCAAATACCATATGGTCTCACTTATAAGTGGGAAATAAACAATAGGTACACGTGGACATACAGAGTGGGATAACAGACATTGAAGACTACAAAACGTGGGAGGAGAGTGAGGACTGAAAAATTACCTATTGGGTACAATGTTCCCTCTTCAGATGATGGGTACACTAAAAGTCCAGAGTTCATCATGATGCAATATATGCATGTCAGAAATCTGCACTTGGACCTCCTAAATATATACAAATGAAAAATTTTAAAGTAAACACGACATAAAACAATTGTATTTTTAATCTATGATATGAACATATAAAAAGAGGTCTGGAAGGATGCACAGCAAACTCTTAGTAGTGGCTTTCCCAGAAAGTGTGAAAGGGAAGCAGCCTCTTAAATGCCCAGAACTGACCCAGGGCCACTTTGAATACATTCTATTGGTCAAAGCAAGTTAAGGTCAGTCCAGCTGCAAGGTGACTTCCCCTCTTCATGGGAGGAGCAGAAGGTGTGGCATGCACCTGCTGTGGGGTGGTGGAATTGATGGCAACCATTTTTGGAAATTGGTGAGACTGTAAACTAGTTCAACCATTGTGGAAGTCAGTGTGGCGATTCCTCAGGGATCTAGAACTAGAAATACCATTTGACCCAGCCATCCCATTACTGGGTATATACCCAAAGGAGTATAAATCATGCTGCTATAAAGACACATGCACACGTATGTTTATTGCGGCACTATTCACAATAGCAAAGACTTGGAACCAACCCAAATGTCCAACAATGATAGACTGGATTAAGAAAATGTGGCACATATACACCATGGAATACTATGCAGCCATAAAAAATGATGAGTTCTTGTCCTTTGTAGGGACATGGATGAAATTGGAAATCATCATTCTCAGTAAATTATCGCAAGAACAAAAAACCAAACACCGCATATTCTCACTCGTAGGTGGGAATTGAACAATGAGATCACACGGACACAGGAAGGGGAACATCACACTCTGGGGACTGTTGTGGGGTGGTGGGAGAGGGGAGGGATAGCATTGGGAGATATACCTAATGCTAAATGACGAGTTAGTGGGTGCAGCGCACCAACATGGCACATGTATACATATGTAACAAACCTGCACAATGTGCACATGTACCCTAAAACTTAAAGTATAATAATAATAAAAAAAGGAAATTGTCTACTATATTTTCCTTCCCCCATTTTAGGCAATTGGCATCCTCCAGCTCTTGGCTCCTTTGCTTCCCTCTGTATCTCCCATCAAAGTTTGCTTTAAAGAAAGATTTTGTAGGAATGCTTTACTTGAATTGTGGATTTAAAACAAGACATGTCACTCCTAACAGACATTTACATTTGATATCTCTCTCTGATCATGGAAATAAATGCTCTATCGCTCTTTAAGGCAAGTTCAGGCGTCAGCAAGTGGGGGAAGAGCTTCTTGGAGTCTTGCTGTTAAGTCTCATCTCATCATTTTCTAAGTGCTTCACCTCCTCCACCTTCTTAAAAGCTGGCTGGAGATAAAAGGGTAATGTCACCCTGGAAGGACTGAGCTCTTAATTCACAGATGTTGCTCCAGAGCTTGGGTCTCAGCTTCTGATGACTTGTTCATTGTTACCTGGAACAGAACTGTCCTGTAACCACATTCCCATGGCTTTATGATCCACAATTAGGAGATTGACTATGTCAGATACCAAATAGAAGGAGAGAGACAATAAGAATTCATTTAGTAATCTATCCAAATATATTTGTTGAGATCCATGTAGCTGAGAGCTATGCAAAGTACTGGGTGTACCAGTAGAAAACAAGATAGGCAGCATCTGTCCTCACAGAGCTTATGGTCTGGTGGGCTATACAGACAAGGAGAAAATATGGGTAATACATGTTAGGTATAAATAAAAAGAAATTATGAGGTGCTATGGGAAGACTATGCGGAGTCTAATTAGTGGTATGCTTGGTCTAATTACTGGCTCTACCAAAAAAAAAATTAAAAAAGGAAAAAAAAAGAAAAAAGCTCCTGATTTATAGTGTTTGTCAATTTCCATGGTGTAAAGATTCCCACCAATTTCAAGCAGCAACATGACATCACTGAATGGAGCTACAAAAAAATGAACAGTACTTTTTTCTTATCGACAGGGGCTGTATTCCAAGACCCCCAATGGATGCCTGAAACCATGGCTAGTACTAAACCCCATGAACACTATGTTTTTTTCTATACATACCTATGGTAAAATTTAATTTATAAATTAGGCATAGTAAGTGGTTAACATCTTTTAATATAATAGAACAATTATAATAATATACTGTAATAAAGTTACATAAATGTGGACTTTCTCTCTCTCAAAATATATTATTGCATGTAATATTTTCAGACTGTGGTTGACCGTGGGTAACTGAAACTATGGAAAGTGGAACCATAGATCAGCAGGAACTATTGTACAAGCCAACAACAGGGCCCTATCGGATCTAAGCCATTTAAGGTAGGAGAATGGAGATGTCAGGAAGGCTTTCTGGAGGAAGGGCCATCTAAGATGAGAACTGAAGGATGAGAAAGAATGAGTCAGATGAAGACAGTCACAGAGAAATATTCCATGTGTAGACAACAGCATGTGTCAAGGCCTGAAAGGCGAGAAAGGACCTTTCACACCTGGAGAATGACCAATCAATGTGGATCAAGGGCATGGTGCTGAGTGATATGTGTGTGTGAAGGTAGATGGGGAGGGGTGTGTGTACATGGGCTTTGTATGTAGTGTGGTGTGTATATATGCATGAAATTGTGTGTACGTGTGTATAGTATGTTATCTGTGTATGGTGTGTGTGTTTATGCACATGTGCATGTAGTACAATGAGAGTGTGTGTGTGTGTGCATGCATGCTGGTGTCTTATTCAACTCCAGCTGCCATAACAAAATACTATACACTGGGTGGATTGAACAGCAGATATTTATTTCTCACAGTTCTAGAGGGTAGGAAGTCTGAGATCAAGGGAGCAGTGGATTTGGTGTTTGGTGAGAGCCTCTTCCTGGCATGCAGTTGACTACCTTCTCACTGTCTTCACATGGCAGAGTGAGAGCTATGGTCTCTTTCTCTTCTTATAAGTACACTATTCTCATTACAGGAGCCCTACTCTCATGACCTCCTCCAAACCTAATTATCTTCCAAAAGCCCTGCTTTCAAATACCATCACTGTTATGGTTTGGCTGTGTCCCCACCCAAATCTCATCTTGAATTGTAGCTCCCATAATTCCCTCATGTTGTGGGAGGGAGCCAGTGGGAGATAATCAAATCACGGTGGGGTGGTTTCTTCCATACTTTTCTCATGGTAGTGAATAAGTCTCATGAGATCTTATGGTTTTATGATGAAAAACCCTTTTTATTTGGTTTTCATTCTTCTCTTGTGGGCCACCATGTGAGACGTGACTTTTACCTTCTGCCACGATTGTGAGGCCTCCCCAGCTATGTGGAACTGTGAATCGATTAAACCTCTTTCTTTTGTAAATTGCTCAATCTTGGGTATGTCTTTATTAGCAGTGTGAA
Source organism: Homo sapiens (assembly GCF_000001405.40). NCBI lineage: Eukaryota > Metazoa > Chordata > Mammalia > Primates > Hominidae > Homo > Homo sapiens. The sequence continues at coordinate 46,758,124 of NC_000012.12, forward strand.
AATAAATTAATACAATAAATCAGTACCAGTAGAGTGGGGCACTGCTGAAAAGATACCCAAAAATATGCAAGCAACTTTGGAACTGGGTAACAGAGGTTGAAACTCTTTGGAGGGCTCAGAAGAAGACAAGAAAATGTGGAAAAGTTTGGAACTTCCTAGAGATTTGTTGAGTGGCTTCGACCAAAATACTGATAACGATATGAACAATGAAATCCAGGCAGAGGTGGTCTCAGATGGAGGTGAGGAATTTGGGAACTGGAGCAAAGGTGACTCTTGTTATGTTTTAGCAAAGAGACTGGTGGCATTTTGCTCCTGCCCTAGAGATTTGTGGAACTTTGAACTTGAGAGAGATGATTTAGGGTTTCTGGCAGAAAAAATTTCTAAGCAGCAAAGCATTCAAGAGGTGACTTGGGTGCTGTTAAAGGCATTCAGTTTTAAAAGGGAAACAGAGCATAAAAATTTGGAAAATTTGGAGCCTGGCAATGCAATAGAAAAGAAAATCCCATTTTCTGAGGAGAAATTCAAGCCAGCTGCAGAAATTTGCATAAGTAATGAGGAGCCTAATGTTAATCCCTAAGACAATGGGGAAAATGTCTCCAGGGCATGTCAGAGACTTTGCAGCAGCCCCTCCCATCACAGGCCCAGAGGCCTAGAAGGTAAAAATGGTTTCATGGGCCAGGTCCAGTGTCCCTCTTCTGTGTGCAGTCTAGGGTCTTAGTGCCCTGTGTCCCAGCTGCTCCAGACATGACTAAAAGAGGCCAGGTACAGCTCAGGCCGTGGTTTCAGAGGGTATAAGCTCCAAGCTTTGGCAGCTTCCATGTGGTGTTTAGTCTACAGGTGTACAAGAGTCAAGAACTGAGGTTTGGGAACTTCCGCCTAGATTTCAGAGGATGTATGGAAATGCCTGGATGTCCAGGCAGAAGTTTGCTGCAGGGGCAGGGCACTCATGGAGAACCTCTGCTAGGGCAGTCCAGAAGGAGAATGTTGGGTGGGTGCCCCCACACAGAGTCCCCACTGGGGCACTGCCGAGTGGAGCTGTAAGAAGAGGGTCACCATCCTCCAGAACCCAGAATGGTAGATGCACCAACAACTTTCACAGTTCATCTGGAAAAGCCACAGACACTTAACACCAGCCCATGAAAGCAACTGGGAGGGAGGCTGTACCCTGCAAAGCCACAGGGATGGAGCTGTCCAAGACCATGGGAACTCACCTCTTGCATCAGCATGACCCAGATATGAGACATGGAGTCAAAGGAGATCATTTTGGAACCTTAATATTTGACTGCCCCCCTGGATTTTGGACATGCATGGGTGTAACCCCATTGTTTTGGCCAATTTCTCCCAGTTGGAATGGCTGTGTTTACCCAATACCTGTAACCCCATTGTATCTAGGAAATACCTAACTTTCTTTTGATTTTACAGGCTTATAGGTGGAAGAGACCTGCCCTGTCTTGGGATTGCACACTTTTGAGTTAATGCTGAAATGAGTTAGGACTTTGTGGGACTGTTGGGAAGGCATGATTGGTTTTTAAATGTGAGGTTATGAGATTTGGGAGGGGTTGGGGCAGAATGGTATGGTTTGGCTGTGTCCCTATCCAAATCTCATTTTGAATTTTATCTCCCATAATTCCCTCATGTTGTGGAAGGGACCCAGTGGAGATAATTGAATCATGGGGGTGGTTTCCTCCACACTGTTCTCATGACAGTGAATAAGTCTCATGAGATCTGATGGTTTTTTAAGGGGAAACCAATTTCACTTGGTTTTCATTCTTCTCTTGTCTGCCACCATGTGAGAGGTGACCTTCACCTTCCACCATGACTGTGAGACCTCCCAAGCCATGTGAAACTGTGAGTCCACTAAACCTCTTCCTTTTGTAAATTGCCCAGTCCCTGGTATGTCTTTATTAGTAGTGTGAAAAAGGACTAATACAATCACATCGTTGGTTAGTGCTTCCACATATGAATTTGGGGGAAACACAAATATTCAGTCCATAGTAGTCTATGTATCACTGGTAAGAGAAACACGGGGCTGGAATGTGAAGAGTTGTATAAACCAGTAGGTCATATCTGGACCCCCTGCTTTAACGCAAGATTCTGCCCAATCTGTGGGGCAATCTGTCTTTCAGGGAGTTTTTTTTTTTTTTTTCTTGAGACAGAGTCTTGCTGTATCACCCAGGGTGGAGTGCAGTGGCACAATGTTAGTTCACTGCAACCTCACCTCCCGGATTCAAGTGATTCTCATGCCTCAGCCTCCTGAGTAGCTGGAATTAAAGGTGCACCACCACCCCTGGCTAATTTTTGTATTTTTAGTAGAGGCAGGGTTTCGCCATGTTGGCCAGGCTGGTCTCAAACTCCGGACCTCAGATGATCTGCCTGTCTCAGCCTCCCAAAGTTCTTGGATTACAGGCTAGAGCCTGTAATCCTGCACCTGGCCAAGGTGATATTTTAAAATATCATAGGAACCCAGCTGTTTTACAACTCTTGATAAATTTCCCACTAGCTGCAGCCTCCTTTTTTGACCCAGAGAGTCTCTTGGGATCATCCAGTTCAGTTCCTTGGTGTTTTCTGATGGTAGAGATTGGATGGAGGGAAGGGCTTTCCCAGGATCACCTGGTAGGAGGTGGTGACTAGCACTCAGACTTCCAGAGCCTCAATTCCTGGTTTTTCTTTTTCTTTTTTTCTTTTCTTCTTTCTTTTTTTTTTTTTTTTTTTTGAGACAGAATCTCGCTCTGTCACCCAGGCTGGAGTGCAGTGGTGCGATCTCGGCTCACTGCAACCTCCACCTCCAGATTCAAGTGATTCTCCTGCCTCAGCCTCCGGAGTAGCTGGGACTACAGGTGTGTGCCAGCATGCCTGGCTAATTTTTTGTATTTTTAGTAGAGACGGAGTTTCACTGTGTTAGCCATCTCCTGACCTCATGATCTGTGTGCCTTGGCCTCCCAAAGTGCTGGGATTACAGGCATGAGCCACCGCGCTCAGCCAGTCCATGACTTTTCTACTCTCCCATCAGTAGAGCTGGAGTCAGTAGTAAAATAATATAATTTAGTCAACCCTTGATTCTAAACAACTAGCCAAAATAATGACAAAGCTCCACTAAACAATACTTTGTTTTATCACATTTTAAAATAGAAAATGATCCATGTGATGAGTACTTTTCATTGGCAAATAATCATTTGGTAAAATAATCCAATTTCATTTTTTCCTTTTTCTGCACAGCAAGATGAGGAATTCTATTATCTTAGCAGCAGCTTTACCCTTTCATCAACCCATCAGCATAGTTTCTTGCTATAGGAACTTAGATTATTGGCTTGAGACTTCTCCTCATTTCTTTTTTTTTTTTTTTTTTTGGAGACAGAGTCTTGCTCTGTTGCCCAGGCTGGAGTGCAGTGGCGTGATCTCGGCTCACAGCAAGCTCCACCTCCCGTGCTCAAGCCATTCTCCTGCCTCAGCCTCCTGAGTAGCTGGAACTTCAGGTGCCCACCACCACGCTTGGCTAATTTTTTGTATTTTTAGTAGAGATGGAGTTTCACCGTGTTAGCCAGGATGGTATTGATCTCCCGACCTCGTGATCCACCCACCTCAGCCTCCCAAGGTGCTGGGATTGCAGGCGTGAGCCACTGCGCCCTGTCAACTTTTCCTCATTTCTAATACAAGCATTTAGTGCTATAAATTTTCCTCCTAGCACTGCATTGAATGCATCCTCCATATTTTAATATGTGACTTTAAAATTTTCATTCAGCTCTATGTATTTTAAAATGTCATTTGATACTTCTTTTTTGACCCATGGGTAATATTGAAGTGTGTTGTTTAATTTTCATTTATTTAGAGATTTTGTTATTGCCTGTTATTGATTTTTAATTGATTCCATTATGGTCAGAAAATATACTCTATATTATTTCAGGTTTTTAAATTTGTAAGGTTTGTTTTATGTCCCAGAATATGATCTATCATGGGAATATGAAAAAACTGTGTTTTCCACTGTTGCTGGCAGACTGTTCTATATATATATCAATTAGAACTTGGTTGATTGTGTTGTTTATATCTTCTATATCTTTGCTAATTTTCTATCTAGTAGTTCTATTAGTTTCTGAAACGTGGGTGTTGATGTCCTCAACTAAATGCAGATGTATCTACTTCTCCTTTCTACTCTATCAGTTTTTGCTTCATGTGTTTTGAAGCCTGTTGCTTGGTGTGTGCACACTTAGGCTTATCTCTTCCTGATTAATTGACCCTTTATTCTTATGTTCATGATAGGAACAATGGACACCTCTTGTCTGTAGTAATTTTATTTTCTCTAAAGCCTGTTTTACCATATATTAATATAGATACTCCTTCTTTATATTATTAATTTTTGTATGTATATCTATTTCCATCCTTTTATTTTCAACCAACTATGTCATTGAACTAGAAGTAAATTTCTTATAAGTGGCATATAGTTGGGTCATGGTTTTTATTCACTCTCCAATCTCTGTTGATGGGTATATTCAAACCACTAGCTTATAAGGTAATTATTGATATATTAGTGCTTAGGCCAACCATTTTATTATTTGTTTTCTTTGGTTCTTGTTCCTGCTTTGCTTTTCTTGGTTTCTGGTGGGTTACTTAAATATTTAAATACTTAAATAAATTCATCTTAATTGATTTATAGTGTTGTTGAATGTATATCTGTGTATAGTTTTTATAGTGGTTGTTTTGTATATTACATTAGACATACGTGACTTATTGCAGTCTATTGGTATCATTTAACCACCTTGAATGAAGTGTAGACACATTACTTCTATTTAGGTCCCTTACCTTCCCCATTAAAAAAAAATCTTTGTCTTGAGTATCAGTGTTTTTTTCAATCAAAAATGTATTTATAAAACTCATTAAAAACAGAAAAGTCTTATATATGTCCCATATTTCTTATCTTTCCTTCATTTCTTCTTCTTTCCTGATACTCCAACATTTCTCCTTTTATCATTTACTTTGTGTTTGAAGAACTTCCTTTAGTCAATCTTTAAGGGCAGGTGTGCAACAAATTACAGGTTTAGGATTTAAGTTTGGAGGATAGGAGTTGTATTAGTTTATTCTCATATTGCTATAAAGAAATACCAGAGACTGGATAATTTATAAAGAAAAGAGGTTTAATTGGTTAATGGTTCTGCAGGCTGTGCAGGAATTATGATGCTGGCATCTGCTTGGCTTCTGGGGAGGCCTCAGGAAACTCACAATCATAGTGGAAGGTGAAGAGGGAGCTGGCACTTCACAAGGCCAGAGCAGAAGGAAAAGAGAAGTGGGAAATGCCACACACTTTTAAACAACTAGATTTTGAGATCACTCATTCACTTTCACTATGACAGTACCAAAAGGGATGGTGTTAAACCAAAACCACCCCCATGATCCAATCACCTCCCACCAGGCCCCACTTCCAACATTAGAGATTACAATTCTACATGAGATTTGGTGGGGACACAGATCCATACCATGTCAAGAGGCTTCTGAGGCTTCTTTTTAAAATTTCTGTCATTTTTTTCTTGGTATAGTTTTTGCCTTGTGGCTAGTTTTAATGTATGCTGATCTAGTTTGCCTTTATAAAGATGTTTAATTTAAAATAAGTTTTTCCAAGTACTATTTTTGTTTTTTTGTTTTTTTTTTTTGCATCTTGGTTAGATGATCCAGTCCTACCTATATGGGCCCAGGACATCAAAACATTTAATTTTGACTATACCACTCTGATTAATTTTATCTCATTAAGACATAAATTGCAAAACTTTGAGCTATGGTGACCTGGCCCCAGAAAGATGTAATTAAGACACCTTTAGGAAAATAAGCAACCATACCATAGACTGGGAAAATATATTGGCAATCTGGACATGGATCCATATTTAAAGAGCTTCTACAAATACCCAATAAAAACACATAACCTAAATTTTAAAAATGGGCAAAAGATTTGAATACACACTTCACAAAAGAAGATATATGAGTGACCATTAAACACTTGAAAAGTTTTCAACATTAGTTGTCACAGAAGCAGAAATGAAAATCACAATGAGTTACCATTTCAGACCCACTAGAAAGGCTAAAATGCAAAAGACAACACCAAATGTTGGCAGGGCTGTGGAGTCAGTGGAAGTTGTAGGTAGTACGGGTGGAAATGAAAATGGTAGAAACACTGTGGAAAACTATGTGGAAGTTTCTTATAAAGTTAAGCATATACTTACCCTGTGATCCGTCAATCCCCCTAATCGTTCATTCATAATCAATCCTTAGCACTCACATGTTTTCCCTGCCCCCATATTTTCTCTGCTCTTTATTTTACTATTCTCAGGTTTCTTCTATTCTCTCATTTTCTATCTTCAATGGATTCTTTCAAACTAACCATAAAAGACTCATTTCTTCCACATTCATTCTAGGTGGTATATATGTGATGCCAAAATTATAATCATCATAATAATTTAGGATTAAATATCTATTTTGCCAAAATAAGATGGCAATTATTTTCAGGATGATGGCTATAGATGTTAGTTATGTGTCAAAGGTAACAATGAAAATGGAACATAAACCAATATAAGAAAGACAGTATTTGGATTTTAAATTTTGTTTCATGGACAAATAACACAACATTCTTTAACAATAGATCAAAAATCACATCATAGTCATTTGAAAAGTTCATTTATTATATACCAATATACACTTTCTGTAATAAAAAAGAAGCCTCCCAATACATTGAGCCATCTTATAAATGAAATAAGAAAATAAAATTTTCATCTGTTTACAAATGGGGTTAAATTAATCAGCACAAGCTATCATATGTATGTCTGCCCTGCAGTATATATGAATTTTAATCCTGGTTATGAAGAAAAAAATGGTGCTTTATTATTTGGCACTATAGGATGCTCTTGAACATTCAGAAGATACCTTTTTCCACTTTTTATTTTTGTATACTTTTTAGATGAGTGAAAATGTAAATATATCCTAAAGATGCTATTTGGCAGATTTTTTTCAAATAATAGTAGCTCAAAAGTACGTGTATGATACTTGTACTTCATAATTGGCTTTACTAAAATATAAAATACACAAGTGATCTTACTATGATTTGAAAAAAAGGTAGTGAACTCCAGAAGTTTTAGGCTGTGAGTAGGAATTTTTAAATCCATTTTATGTAAGTTTGTTATAGAAGTGAGCAAGAATGATCGTGTGCATTTCTTCGTAGTGTTAGCACTTATACTTTTACAGAGAACCACTCAACACTGTATTAAATGGCCAATGAATGTCAGCAAACACCTGTGTGAGCTAAACTGAACTAAATCCTATTTTAGATATGCTAAATTAAAAGAACAACTTTAGTATGATAAAAATTTGCAAAAAGAAACTTATTTTCTTGTAGATCATCCTATTATTGTAAATATTGAAGAAGAGCATTGCCAAACTATATATAACTTAGGTTTCAAATTTAAATTATCCCCAGACATTTGTAGACAGATACATATGAATGGATTTTCGAGCCCACCAACTTAATTCCCTGCCCCCACCCCCAATAATATAAATGCTTTGACTGTGAAGAAAGAAAACTACACATGTAAAAAATAAAAATCAAATGTACCTTACATTAACATTCTGATGACTACAGAATAAGATTATATACATAAACATATAGCAAATCACAGTTTCCTGCACTGAATGTTTATCAAATAAAAATGTATCAAACAATACTGGGTAGTGTATCTCCACGATTGTGGTCTTCTAAAAATTCTGAATGAGGATGGAAGACGAGAGGGAGAGCATTGTTCAATGACAAAAGTATGACAAGAGGATTTAGGAATAACATGAAAAAGCAGATGCTTTCTAGAACAGGCAGTTTAGCTATAAGCATTATTTTTGTTGTTGCTCTATGATTGAAATAAAGCCCCTCTCTATATTTAGTGTTTTAACATTTAAATATAGATGTTTTAACATTTACAAAAATCTATTGAATATAGAAGTCACAACTCAATGTCACAAACAGGGTGGGCAAAATATTATTTTGCTGTTGACAATAAGATGCTCTAGACTGGTGTTTGACCATTCATGTACCTTACAGAAACAGAAACAGTTCCTAAGACATGCCTTTTGCCTCTGTTAGTAAACAGACCAGAGACTTTGGTGCAAGACTGAGAGAAGACATTAAATGGTGATAGCTTTGCCACCAGGGCATTTTTGTTTGATGTTCTGAGAATGCAAATGTTTGGTACTTTTTTAGGGGGTGCAGGATGAGGAGACGGCAGGGGAAAGAGTACTATCTGATGATTGTTACATGCAGTTACCCTTATTCTGCTCGTAAAGCAGCAAAAATACACCTTCATCATCTCACACTGCTCTAGCAAAACCTGGGTAGAAATGTGCACCACAGGTTTTATTTTAAACACATACACAACCATCCTTGACAAAAACAGTGATTTTCCTCTTCTGCAGGTGCCTGGTGATATTACTGGTAAACGTCTTTGGAATCTTCCTGTTATTTCCTATGAATAACATTCCAATCAAGATAATTCAAATATCTTTTGGAGTATAACTTGTAACCATTTCCAATAGAAAAAGAAAGTATTTTTCCTTGTGTTAGTGATGCTTGGAATTTGGAGGATCATAAATCCAGTCAATTATAATGAGTGCCATGCTTCCAATCATGAAGAATATTCCAACCACAAGGAAAATTAAAGCCTGTAATTCAGAGAGACTCTGTTAGGAGCACAGAAACCATACTTAGTACAATTTGTTTTTTAGTTGTTTACATAATATGGCAATCTGATCTATATATTGAGCCATATTATTCTTAATATCTCAGATGCCCAGGCCTAACCTATCAGTCAATTTAGAATCCTAGTTGAAGAAAGAAGAGGAATACAGTGGAGAGATACAACCTACAGGTTCAACAATGGAGTAATAGTTAATTGATTTAGTACACCAAGATGATGGAATACCCTGTGATTATTAAAAATCAAGGGACAGAAAAAGATTCAATAATCTAGAGAATGCTTACAATCTTTTAGGTGAAAAAGAGCAGGTTAAAAAAGAATAGCATATATGATATGATTCTAATTTTATAAAGCAAACAAAACCAAAAGCTTAATAGATGTTGCAACAAAAAGTGTATATATGTGTGTGTGTGTGTGTGCATACATATAATATACACACACATATATAAGGATATATGTACATACCTACATATAAAATACTTCAGCATTTTAACACCAGAAGAGGCCTTACATTTTATCACATACTTAAACCTCCTAATCCTACATATAAGAAAGCAGCAACTAAACATTTTTCACTAGAATGGGTCTAGGAGATAATTGTACTCATTTCACAATTGGTCAAACTGAAAATAGGTCACAAACAGGACAAGTAATTTGCCAAGGTCACACTGCTGTAAAAATCCAAGCAAGACGGACTACATAGAGTTAAAATTTGGGAGCAAGCTGCTGGGTGGACCTTTTGATACCAAATTATCCTGAAGTCCCCAGAACATCCCAAAGGTAAATGACTTCAAGGTAAAAATTCAGAGTAATTCAGTAAGAAATATTCTTTTCAAGCCTTAACATGACTTTATTAAGGAGTGAAAGATAATATTTCCTTATTGGAAAAACAATTATTTCTAGCATTTGTTTCTATAGTAGTCTTATGGAAAAGAAATATGTACTCTCTAATTTAATAAGACTGTATTTTGTATCTAAAGAGGTTAACAGAACGATGAATGGTTCTGTTCTGGATCTTAGTCCACACCAGGGACAACAGGTACTATGGAAGGGAAAACAAAAGCAACATCTTTCCTTTGGCTTTGCAAACCTAACAACCATGACCAAAATATTTAAATTATTCCATAACACCGCTAGGGAGCCTAATTCCTTCTTGCATGATTTTCCACGGATAGCACAACAGCAGCTTGGTATTGGACACTGCTATTTGCCTGAAGCATATGTGTCTGTGGGAAAGGCTACTACTATTTGACATGTATGACAGACTCAACACAGGATATTTGATATTTGAAGTAGAATCATTTGAGTTTCAGAAATATGTCCCCTTTCTCTGCTACCAGAAAGTTCTAGCCCAGTTTTGATTTTTGGTTCTTGTACATTGATTCATTTTTCTGAACTATGTGTATTTTCTAGTTTATTCTAAGTAGTTGGAAGAACAACTAATAATGGGGGAAATTGCAAGGTTTACTTACCCCGACCTTTTGGGGTGACCTAAAAGTTTCTTTCTTGACAAGTTTAAGATAAAAAACTGCTGGAAGAATAAAAATCAGCATAGTGGCAGAAGAAGCCCCTGAGAAGACAAACACAGGGCAAGGTCAATGTCTTACCCAGCAGTTCCTAGCAAAGGAGATGCCAGCACACACTTTAAATAAACCAAATATAAAGCTATCCTATACTTAGCACTAAAAACACACACTTAAGTCACATAAGCTCATCTTGGTTATTTATTCATAGAAGATATGTTTATAGAGACAATTAAAATGTACCTAACATCAAAGCTGCATAAGTATATGCAACATATAATAAGCAACAAAAGGCTGAATTTAACACAAATTTACAGGGGATTAGTAATATAAATACATACTAAGGTGGCTGAACTCATGACACACCCTATCCACCTCTTACTTTGCAAGTGACCTACCCATGGTTCTTTTAAAGTTTTAGATTGTGTTTAAAGTTTAAGTAAACCCTCAATGAGTAGAATGAAAATTAATAGACCATGCAGTTATGGGGAAATACTAATAATACACTTTATATAATCAACCTCCTATTCCTCTGAAGATACCTTTCAATGTTCAGCTGATACTCGTAGTATCAGAGAGCTTCTGGCAGGTAAAATCTATCTTCCTCTTTTCCTGATGGTGGAGCTAATACCTAAGTCCAAATCCTGGGTCCACACCAAGGTATATGACTTGACTTTTATAGGGGTCAGTTTCCTCATCTATCAGAAAAAGCAGCTTGACTAAATGACCTATAAGGTGGCTCCCAATGTCAGTTAGGAGGAAGAGACAGTGAGCAGCTCAATCACCAGAGCCTCTCAGGGATAAAGGGAATCCATGAGCCTGAGAAAGAACGGGGATCTGGATGACCCAGCACTGGTTCCCTGTCCATCATTTAATGAGGCGTGAGTTTGGGTTGACCAAATTGAAGCCTTTCTGAAACTCACCTATGAATCCGAAGATGTATTTTATAGTTGGCACAAGGATGACCAGAACATTATTAAGTGCAATAAGCACAGCTGCAATCAGGAAATGTCGTATCCAGCTGAAGGGTCGTTTGGGAAATAACAGTGTGATCACTGATGTACGAATCTTAAACAAGAAAGTTCAAAGGCAAGATCATTTCTTTGTTTTTGACTTTATCTATTACTTCAAATATTCTCATCACTCTAATGCATTTTCTTTCCTTTTCTTTTTTCCCAGAAAAGATGTTGATGCTTTTTTCAATTTTTTTATTATTATAAAACATACATAACATAGAATTTACCATCTTAACCATTTTTAAGTGTACAGTTCAGTGGTATTAAGCATAGTCATTTCGGTCAACAACAGACCACATATAAGACAGTGATACCCTAAGGTTGTAATACTGTATTTTTACAGTAGCTTTTCTACGTTTGGAGACACAAATACTTACCATTATGTTACAGGTACCTCCACTATTCAGTACAGTAACATGCTGTACAGGTTTGTAGCCTAGGAGTACTAGGCTATGCCATATAGCCTTAGTGTATAGTAGGCTCCACCAATTAGGCTGCAAGTACAATCTATGGTGTTTGCACAATGACAAAATTGCCTAAAGATGCATTTCTCAGAATATGTCCACATTTGTAAGCAACACATGACTGTACATTCATCTTGTGCAGTCTTGATGCTAACTTTTGATATTTGAAATGGAGTGTCATTTTTTCCTTGGCCTATTTTATAAGACAATATTTTATGCTTTCACTTTCTTAGTTTTCAGAATTTATTGTTAAAAATAATCTCGGTCAGAAAGAGATAACAGGCAAGACACATAATTAAGAAACATAGTAAAACCCTTGTTGATCACAAAACATGTCTCATCAGACTGGATGAGACATTAAGGGCAAGCACTGAATTGATTTACACAAGATTGTGAAAGGAATTTTTATGAATCTAGGTTTTCCTTAATTTTGCATGGTATTTAACATTTTAAAATAAAATTTTAAAATGGTATTTTAAAATTTTGACGTTTTTGTGTTTGCTCCTTCCTCTTTCTCTCCTTTTTAGCTCTCCCTATCAATAGATTGTAAATCTATGAAAGGCAAGGAACAGGACCTAATAATCTAAACATTCCTCAGACTTTCTAGCTTAGTGTTGTGCACACAGCAGGCACTGAATAAAAGCTTAAATTAAATTGAATAGTAGGAATCTTATCCTTCCCTTCAGGATCCTTGACAGATTTCAGCCCTATTTTAGCAGCTGAAATAAGTAGGCGAAGGGTCAAGAGAGCCTCAGTTTGCAGCAGCTGCTCAAGTTACGCTGCTGTAACTGGATAAAGATCCCTGTGGGCAGAGGGAGGGAGTGACATTTGTGTTTGTACAGCTTGACAAAGTTGAAAACACTCTTATCTTTGGAATCTTTTAGAGGACACTTTTTGGACTTAGTGGAATTACTCTATCAGCTTTCCAATAAGTGAATACTTCGGTTAAGCTAGGAGTTCACATTTTTGGAAATGCTGTGATTGATGTTCACTTTAAAATTTTAGTTCTGAAGTCACTTAAGGTGCAGAGATGGGAACTCATTTAAAAGAGAGAAAATGTAAAATATATTTTGAAACATGTATGAATGACAAAAAATTCAAGCTAAATAGCTTGCAGTTTCTCATGTGACATTCCTTTCATACCACTCCACCAAAAATTAAGGCCATCTGTTTAGGCTGAAAAGGCAATTTCATTTCTAGAATGACAAACCAGATAGTCTCTGGAAATAGTTTAAGAATAACTTTGTAAAGGATTTTAAAAATTGGATTAGTGAACATTATGAAACTCATTCTGAAAAGGAAACTGAGGAAAGCAAATGGTGTGATATTGTTTTCCTCAGCAGCCTATAATTCTACATTATGATCTGCAATTAGTGCTTATTCAATATTGTCAAAACTGGTCCAATTAGTAGGCTTACGAATAAGCTTTTTATGGTATATACATAGTGCCAGAGGACTTAATTTGTTTCACAGTGTTAAACAGAATAAATAAGTATGAGATATAGGCTCATTTTCAGAGAATAGTCACAGTTTGTTTTTTAGTCACTTGTTAAAAAGGTGCATTCAAGTCAATAAGCTGAGTTAGAGTGAGTTAGAGGCAGTCCTATATGTCCAGGGCCTCTGAATGTGAAAGCAGTCTCCTGGCTCCCAGAAAGATTAACATTTGGCCTAATGATATGAGATCACAGAAAGTTTATGGCAATAATAGGTAGAACGGTTGGAGTAAATGCAAAAGCTTCTTCCTCTTTCTGAATAAGGAATAGGAAAATTCCAAACAGAACTGAAGGTGGTTTCCAGTGCATTCCTGAAGAGAGCAACAGAGCAAAGAGGGAGGGAGGTACTAGGCTTGTGGTGGTGGTGGAAAAGATCAGGAAGGAAACTTGCTGGTCATTCCATGTTAAAGTGCCTCCCTGAGTAGTGAGCCTAGGACCAAAAGCCCCCAGCAGTTCTGTTTACCTTTGCTAGGGCAGACCACTGGCTGATTCCCACCAAGCCTCATCTGCTCTTCCACTTAGCTATGTGCCTTTTTCTTTACTGACACAAGTCGCTAGGAACCTGGAAATGTGGGTCAGATGCTGTGGGTCAGGGAGGTCCCCAGCACCATCCAGGGCCTCTGACCCACAATGATTCCATTAAGGTTCTATGCAGCTCTAGAGACAACATCTGTTATTTCCAGAGAAAGAGTCCTGAACAGGAGCCTGTTAGGGGGTGCTGTATTCTGATGCAGGGGCCCAATGTGAAGGTCAAAAATGTGGAGGCACAGGAGGAAGTGAGAGTCTTAGTTCTAACTCTTAAAAAAAAAAAAAAAGCCTCTCCCATTGTTTAGACGTAGCTCACACTTTGATTTTGCAGGTTTGCTTAAGGCAAGGATGTTGGAAAACCTACGAATCACTGCTCCACTGCAGTTGATAGCAATATACGCTGCATTTCTATGTTGATATCTATATACACTTCAAAACAGGAGATCTGAAGGCAACATAAGTGAAAAGACTGATTTTAATTATAAGATGAAATACAAGTAGCTAGGGATCTTTTTTCAAAGGCATGGCAGGTGAAATTTTCATCTGTGTGTTCATTATATATCCATTAGGATTATTTGGTTTCTTGTTCTTTATGGAAATATGGAAACTTTACTGCATAAAGGGAAGCATAAGCTGAAAATGACATGATCAGTCCTCTGGAAGGAGGTGCCATTCCATAACTGATACCCCACCCACTACTAAGAGAGAAAGAAATGTTGGGCTGCTAGTGAAAACACTACCTTAATTCATTTCATTTATTCACTTGTTCAACAAATACTACAAGCAGTTACTATGCACCTTTTACTAAAAAGGAAAAAACTAACCTGATTGGAAAAAAGAAAGATAATAAATGAAGTAGAGAAAAACAAACCCCAGTCATATCTTCTCAAGCTCCTAAGAAAGAGAGCCCAGTTACCATGTTGAAAGAAGGAGAACACAAAATAATGCCTAAAGCTGATAGATTTTAATTCAGATTAGGTTTTGTTAGTTTTATTATTAATGTGTGGAGATATCAAGGCAAGTAAATAAACTTACTGGTGAAGAGTTCCTTAAATGAAATAAACTGTCAGGAGAACCATGCTGTGAGTCAGCATTTGACACATTGAAAATCTGAGCCCTAAGTTATACGAAATAAACAAGCAAAAGCGCCAATAACAACTTTTATCATTTTAGTAAAGAAAAAAAATTGAATTTAGCTTCAGAGGACTTGATTGAGATCCACTCACGGAAGTGACCACTCTCTGTCACCTTCTCTGTGTATCCTTCATGTATAGGGAGGTTTGGTTCATTTAGCCCAGATCCTCAACCCAGCTGAATTCGTAGCACATGTCACCAAGGGAAAGAGTGTCTATGCTTTTGCTAGAAAAGGCAGTTTATACATTTCAAGACAAAGCAAGATTCATTTGAAGACCATTTTTCTTCCCAAGCACGACGGAGCTCACCCTCTGTGCCAGTCACTGTGCACATCACCAAGTCCCAGGGACTTATGACTCTGTGGGGCAGTGGAGCACTTACACAGATTATATAAATGTAACATTGCAAGGGTGAGGACAGGATAATGTGCAAAATGTTTCATAAATGCTAATGTTGAGTGGAAATACATAATGAAGGACAGCAGTTAGTCATTTTTCTGAACTCTGGTTCTTATGGTCAATTTTGGTTCTAATGGCATCTAATGTTTACACACTATTGCTGTTCCTGATGGTCAGATTTATATCAGTGCTTTATTTCTCACATAGGGTAAGAATTTCTAAGGGGAGATTTGGATTTTCCATGCTGAGGTGAAATGTTCATCAGTAAATGACTTTTACTTCCCATGACAATAATTGCAGCCCTCAGTGTTGGGCTATGAGCTGCACTAGTTGAACTGTTACCAGCTGTCTGTGTGACGATGGCCAATTCTGGCAATCCCTTAAAACCATGGCTTGAAAACACTATATGAATATGAATAAAGCAATACAGAAGCACATCACAGATTTCTTATGCTTTGATTCTACAATGATGTGAATGCTTACACTGTGCCAAAATTTAGTGAGTGATTTTTTTACACATAAAAAGAAGGGCTCCAGATATCCTTTTCTCAGTGAAGTTGTTTGCCTGGCAATTTTACCCTATCGTATACCTTCTGTTTATAGTTGTCTTCTGTCTTGTACCCAAGACGGAGCTGATTTTAGGCTAAAGCTATGTGTATGTCATCTGAAATACTTTCAGATATATTAGAGGCAAGACATGATTTAAGAGTAAAATATTAGCCACCATAGTAGTACGGATCTGATTTCATGCACTCATGAAAAAGGAATGTGCCAAAATATATTTCAGCACACAAGCTGCATTTAAAGTGACCACAGTGTCATTATAGAAATAGTCTTCATATGCAAGCCCTGTATGGAACATTATGTCCAGGACAGTGCTGGTTACTGTGTCACTTATTTTTTTCCCCCTCAAATGAATGAGTAAATTCAGTGTTTATGAAACAGGAGCTGGCAGGAGGGTGAAGACCTGTGTTTATCCTTAGGTGGTGGTTTTAACTCACACAGCCCAAATCTTCACTACCAGCTCTGCTCTGGGATCTCAGAACAAACTGACACCAATGACAAATGCCAGGGAGGGGTGACCTGGTGTGAGTCTGGCAGAGGCCATGTGTGAGAGAGATATGTGATAGATAGCATAACTGTTTTTTGAAAAATTTTTTTCTGGTATATAATTTACTTAACATGAATCCCCTTTTCATTAGCCTTCAAGGCATCAGGTTAAAAAAGGCAACTTTTGTATATTATTGCAGCACAACAAACTGGAAAAAAAATGAAATGCCTTCAAAACTGTGATGAAATTTAATAAGATTTGAAAGTTAATATGGTTTTGGCTTTCAAGGTTCCAAAGTTATATGAACTCCTACTCAGTTTTACTAATCCACAAGACAGAAGCTCCAGCTCCACTTTTCAACTTTGAGTTTAAAAATAAGTTTTATGATTTTTTTCCTACACTATAAAAATACCACCTGAAACTACTTGCTCTATCTACACATTAAATGGCCAATTTTAAGTGACTCAAAATGCTATAGGAAAATAATATCCTCAGGCATTGCAATTGCAAACTCACCCTATAATTAAATCAAAATGAAGGTAGAACACATGTACTAATTTATGGGGTCAAGTAGGTTTCTTTCATCAAAGTCTTATGTACTTACTGGGAAGAGGACAATGGGCACAGTTAGTGTTACTGCCACAAGGACTGCCAGGCGAACCATGAGAAGAGGGATGTCTAATGTATACACTTTGCTGTAGGCATGAAGTAATTCATCTTCAACTTCTCCTACAACAGGAAAAAGAGAATGAAACCGCTTGGTGTTGTCAAATCAGCACAGGTCACTTATGGCAACATTTTATAGAGAGAACACAGAACAGAGGAAAAGACCTAGGCCTGGGAATCCAGGCACCTCTGGTCTTGCCTCTGAGCTCATTAGCTATGCAACCTTCATTCAAATGAACAAAGAGGTCCTGAAGCTGATAACGTTGCAGAAGGTATAATACAAAATAAAGAGCCTCTCAAGCTCATTTACATTGTGATAAATCTATCTCCGCTGTACAGAAGCAATTACAAATCAGACAGAGACCAAGGTGCTCTTGTTGAAGGGGATGAGAGACCCAAGCCCCACATATTGTCTCTCCCAGCCTACCACCTCCCCTGTCCCTACCTGCGCAGCCACTCCTGATGCAGGTTACAAACCCAGTGTGTAAACTCTAGGATGAATGATTGCTACCATTTTTTCAAGCTCAACAACTATGACTCCATCACCACACTAAAACAGATATTTTTGGGCTCTTTCAAGTTTTTGCTTGTCTTATGAAACTCATTAAAATAAGTATAAGTAACATGCAGGGATAAATTAGTATAATTTTTAGATGGTCTCCCAGTGGGTACTACTCTAAGACGAAGATGCAGCCCTACTTGAAAACACCTTCATTCAGGACTCCAAGCACAAATAACAAGAAAATATCTATGGAATCAAGCGTAGTTGGATTTTCACCTCAAGATCAGACAAAAAGGAGTGAAAATACCTTCAGTAGTATTGACCTCGTCATTCATTATTTCACAACCGGCAAAAAGTTAATGCCCAATCTAAAGCACATGTTTGGTTAATAGTCAAATATTAGTCAAATAGAAAAAAAACCTAAGCAAATGGTGGCCTACTCCTGAATCTTTTCCTCCACAATTTGTCATACATGCAATTCAATTTACCAAGTCAGTAAGAAAAAAATTAAGTTAAAAACTTTAAAAGGAGGTTTATACAAAAATATATTTATATTGATACACTGATTCATGTAAACATATGCTACCAGGTCAATATGTGATTCCATGAAATCTGTTTATGTGGCCACACTTCATGGAAGGAGTACAATCCTACTCCCTTTGTGAACTGTTAAGATGCCAGAGAGGAAATGTTGCAGGCATAATCTAATGTGGCCATAGTCACTTTTTTTTGGTGGTGCATTCTTAGATTGAAGGAAATTCTGTCATGTCCTCTTTCTTAGGAAATCATTTAGTATAACAAAATAGAATGGGATATGTCAGAAATTTTACCTAAAGTCCCAAGCTCCCAGATTTGACTTGACTGGTAAAGAGGAGGCAAATTCAAACTTGAGGACCTGGCAGTTTCCCTGCTATTTGTGTGGCAGGTAATAATTCCATCAAAGGAGCTTTATCACATGCAAGTGGATTCATTCTCATCACTTGTAGCCTGAGTTGGACTATGGAGTCTAGCCAGAGAAATATCATCTATCCCTAGAGGAAAATAATTTTGTTTGAGGGATATTTTTTATAAAATAGGTGTTAATTCACAAATTCTTGTAACTTGTTAGCCAGGCTGAATCAGGCCCCATTTCCTCAGGTCAAGTGACAAAACTAAAATAGTATATTAATTGAATATGTGTCATCTATAGAGCATGCTTATAGAAGGCAATTTTTAAAAATCATACCTACCCAGGTCAAGGACCAGCCTAACAAGGATTTGCATATAGAGAATGACTTTCAGAGTGACCTACCATAGAAGGTTAGGTAACCAAAGAGGGCGGCAAGCAGGTACATGACAAGCATCCCCGTGATGGAAATATTTGACACCGTTTGCATTTTTCTCCGGGACCGACTGGAAAAAGAAAGAACACCAAGCTTTGTTTTTTAAACTTACAAAAAAAAATCACTTTTCAAAATGAAAATAATAATAAAAAAGTATATCTATATTGCTCATCATGAAGACATATTTAGTACATAAACTTATAGCTGATTTAAATTTGTCTTAGAGAGCTAATGAGGATTCATTTCCATTTTTCTTAAACACTAGTCCTTCAGTCTTAAAAACAATCATTTCCCTAGAAGAGGAACAGTCTATTTCACGTAGGTCAGTAAGCTTGCCCACTGAATAAGAATATAATTAACATAAAGATCAAACAGGCTCCTAACATAGAAAGCTTTTGCATTTCATAATGAGATGACTTTAGATGAGGAAAAGAACCTAGTAGAGTCAGCAAAGTACTACTGCCAGGAGTCCAGACTACCTGAAAAGCTTCTGAAAACCATTCTAGAAGGAACCTGGCTGCCAAAGATCAATTGTCAGGCTTCTGGAGTAACTGCTACATGTAATTTTCAAAGTAAATCAAAGACATCAAAATACTTGAAAGTGTTCTGAAATTTTTTATGAGGTAAATCAGAATTTATGGGGAAAGTTTTGCTATTTAGTGAGAATGAAGACTGAGGTTACTGATGTCTAGATTAAAGAAGTTGAGAATTATTATATAATACCCTCCCTTAAAGGAAAGAGGAAAACAGCTATAATGAGTTCATATCCTTTGTTCCCAAGCAAATATCAACAACTTCAAAGGGAAAAGAATACAAATGAACCATAGACCATCAGCTGGAAGAAACAAGATTTTCTAGCCAGTGACTCTATTGTACAAATAAGACAACAAAGGACAGATATTGACACATCTCTTGTAATGAATGTGTTCTAGACAAGGGTTAGGTGCTGACTATAAATGACATCACTGGCTTATCGAGGCTGCCCCTAACCATAAGTTTTGGTCGTCATGGGTGTTTTCATTTCTAGTCCAGCTGACATCGTTTCTTCCGAACAAAATTCAAATTTAAATTCCCAACACCTGCCAAAATTATTACAACCATCGACTCCTTGTCCACCTGCCATGAACCCCTCCCCTGAACCATTATGGTGGAGAGAAAGGAGAGAAAGAAGATAAGGTAGTGCTGTGGTGGGCTGATTCCCACCTTTCTGATTAAAGCATGTTACTGAGGAGTGGATGGAGTACATATTTTCTCTGAAGAGGAAGCTATAAACTGTGTTTCCTGTTAAAGAATCTTTGAACATATGAGCAGAATTTCAAAGCAAATTAGAATGCTAAAATGATGGCTGCCTTACTCTTTAAGTTCACTGTAGATGGGAAGGACCTCAGGGTGGCATACAAAAGCAAATACTAGGATAGGAATTGCATAGGCCGTCTGAAAAACAAAGACAACACCACGTGTTTAGCATTCCAACATAGATGGTGATCTCAGGCCATCTCAGTTTATTGAATAAAAACTTAGAAAACACATAACTGTACTCATTAGAAGCCCGGACCGCTCACTTACCCGGGAGTTGAATACAAAGTATTTGGGTTCACACTTGTCATCACTATGAGCTTCATATTCTACTCCACTGTCATGAAGAGAGCCCTTGGCCTGGTTCTCATCCAGCCCTGCAGGATTGCGGTGGGTGTAATCCATCATGAAGTTCACATCAGAACTCTCAGAGTTGTTGGGTAACATTACCACATGCATTGGAAGCGTGTTGTTGAATGACAGATTTCCAACACTGTGATCCAAAACAGGTAGAGGGCAGGGTATTTGGAATTTCTTGTAAATCACCTAGACTCAGTCATTAAAAAAGAAAAAAAAATCAGCTTTTTGAGAAAAAACAATGAAATAAGAATCCATATGTGTGGCTTATAGGGTGGGGGGTGAGGGAACTCAGTTAGGGATTCCTTTTAGACTAATGGACAAAGTAAACTTCCTCTAGCCTCTGTTCTAAGGGAAGAGTTGGAGCTGTGATTGGCAGCCCTGCCTCTTAGAGTTAACAGGACAATATTTTGCAAGAATCCTTCCCACCCTCTTTCATGCCCTTCCATGAGAAAGATGATCATTTCCTTATTTCTTCAAACTAAGGTGACATGGGTCTTCAAAACTTTTTTTCCTTCTCCTTTACCTCTTTGGGGAAATGCTTTATAAATTTTGGCATTCATGATAGTGCAAGAAATTCCCTCTTTTGTCAGGGGCCTAGAGAGGAGGATTTCTTCTTTAATCCCACTGTTCTTGTCCTCTCTTAATGGGTGGAATGTGTAAGAGAGAATGGCTGATTCATGTGAATATGGGTATAGCCTTCTTGTTTCTCATCTGGGACTCTCCTCTGCTGTTCTAAATGCCAGATTATTGTCATGTTCCTGCTTGAAGTTTTCCTTTTTTCCCCATATATAACCAGTGTGCCTAGACCAAACCATTAGTAGTAGCTTTGATATTCTACCTCAACTATCTTTAAATCGTAGCTGCTCTTTTTTTGCTCTAAATTAGTCTACAAGAAAATCACTTGTGATACAAGAACTATTTCATATTAGTGAAGTGCTTGAACAAAATGAGGACACTAATTTAGGCACAAAAAAACTCATGCTAACCAACCTGCAAGGATCATGTCATCACATCACTTACCACACTAACAAAAAACACCATGCAGGTAAGAGAAAATCCACTGGTATAGCCAAGATAACCTAGAAGTTAGAAGAAGCATTTTGGAAGGTGAATATGGCATCTACAATTAGCTAACCTATTTAAATGTGAAATAAAAATAAAAATATTTCCAGTTAGAAAATATCTTTACCTAAATTTTTAAGGAGCGAAAGTGGAAGAATAATTCCAACAGACACAAATATGATGAGGTAGTTGCCATTGAGGTACCATTCTCTAGAAGTGAGAGACAAGGATATTAGAATCAGAAAAGACCAAGTAGAATGAGTCACTTGATGTCACAGAGGGAGCATAAGACATACCCAGTATTTTCTTCAAGTCCCATGAATGCTCTGATTACTTCAGGTAGTTCATATTTAATGATAAAGAGGTAGCTTGACATTGCTAAAATGGAAAATGTGACAGCTTAATGGTGTGGACAGTACTGAAGTCACATGCAAGCAAGTTATGACATTTGGGATATGTAAGATGAACATCTAATCCCCCAAATGGAAAAAAAAGTCATTGTGTATTTGGCACTGCTTCCAAGTTCTCTTCCAAGATAGACATTTGACCTTCCAGCTCTTTCAGGTGGACCTTTGTTAACAGTATCAGGGCTGATTCTGTGTTAAATCCTGCTCCAAAGTTTACAGTGAAGCTGCAGTTCTAAGGTTCTGCCCTCATTAGTTATAAATCAACATAGCCCATACTCAGTGTGCCTGTGTTAGTGTCTATAACTTGGGCAGTAGTCTGGCAACAAAAGGCATGGGCCAGCTGAGAGATGGCAGAATCAAAGGGCAGATCTGCAGAGTCAATATATCCCCTCTGGTTTTCTGCAGATGGGCACCAATCTAGTCCTCCGGGACCTATCTGAGGAGTACACAAAGTCTCAGACCACTTATTGTCAGAACCAAAGGCTTCCTGGATTGATAAAAGAATACAAGAGATGACAGCTTCTCTCCATCTTTGTCAAAGAAGTTTTTTTTTTTCCCCCCTCTTCATCTTACTCTCCTTTTGGCTAACTAAGGAATTATATAAAGTGGCAAAATTTCATGAGCATCTAGGTAAGTGATACATGAATGATTATCTACTCTTGTGAAAGATTTCTTGATGAAATCTACAAGCCTTCTCCCTGAAAAAATGAATATGTATTCATATACATAACATTACAATTTTGCCTACAACTGTAAATATTTATGCATCACGCCTTTTTCAAGCCCACCCATTTGGTGAAGGATAACGTTAATTTGTTGACACATGGCCAAAAGATTCAGTTAAAAATAGAACTCACAAATTTTACATGAAAACTTTAAGTGTGTCCTACATCCTTCTAGTGAATTTTTGCTAACAGGCACTTTAAAACACATACTTAAATTGTAAATTAAACTACTGAGTTTAAAAATATTTTCTTCACTTCATATGAAAGTAACAGTGATGATAATAATTCCCCACATTGGTTAGTTCTGCACATTACTTCATTTGATCATCTGAAAAACCCTGTGAGATGACAAGATATATGTTGTTATTCTCATTCCACTGATGAAGATATAAAAACTCCGAGATGTTAAGTTGACATGTCCACAATCATACAGCTTGAAAAGGACGGACTACATCTAAAACAGAAGGGCTGGTGCTTCTTCTGTACTGTCAAAGTGAAATGATTTTTACAATAGCGGATGTACCTTCTGTACACATTATTTGGTTAATCTTTGCAAAGACCTTGGCTAAAGCTAAATCTTACAGAGTGTGAACACAGGAGATATTTCTGATTAGCTGGCTTGGTGAGGTACCATTCAATGTTACAGCTATTAATTGCTGGTTTTCAGTGATGTCAGTGATGTTAACATGTTTGGTCTTCAAAAATTCAGAATGATCCAGACATTAATCTGTTAATGTGAAAACATCTGCAGTAAATGTTAATTTTTTAGGGGATTGAGAAAATTAAGTGTTCTAAATGTAGAGTTGTTAAATAGAGAAATACAAGTGATTTCTCTTATGCCAAATATCAACTAATCAAATAAAGTAACCAAAGTGAGAGCATTATTTCTGGGGTGATGTTACGATATTTCATCTTACTCCCTTAAAGTCACGCCTCTTACCTGTGTGAGGCTTGACTGAGAGACCGCTTTATACTTTATTCCATTGTTTAGAAGCGTAGTAGTGGCTATGCTTTGAACCACAGCTGAGGTGCTGCCACTCAACTTCTTGAGTCCAGGGTTAATTATGCTTATGCCTGGTTATTTCAGTTGTTAAATTAGACCAACTATAAGGCAATCCTATGAAATGCTCGATACTTTAAACCTTGATAAGGCTGAGAGTTTGAAACAAATGTAAAGTGGTCTATTTGTTGGGATTTGGGGGGCTAATATGCATATGGCTCCAAACCAGTAAAATGAATGAGACAATTTTGATATTACTGTCAAATTCTACCCAAGATTGTAGTCTTAACATATAAAAATTTTTTTAACACAAATCATAAGATATGGCTGAATTTTACTTATCTGCTTACCAACTATCCATTATCAGGGTGAGTATAGTTAGATAGATTACTAAAGAAATTTCTGCATTCCAGAAATCCTTGATAACTCCAGTGAATTTATTTATTAAAATGGGTTGCCTGTTTGCAAGATCTCTGTGCAAGTGTATTTACTGTAGCATTTTTATAACAGTGAAAAATTAGAAACAATCCAACTGTTCATCAATAAGGATACTGTAAACAAATTATGGCACATTTGTGTAATGGAAACCTCAAAAATCATTAAAAAGAATAACATGCAAATATATTCAAGGCATATTGTTAAATTTAAAAAGAAAGCTGAAAATCGGTATCATAAGATGATCCAATACTAACAATATTCAATGTATTTGTTGAATTAGGCATAGGGGAAAACCTATGAGTAGTTATTTCTGAGGATGACTGACATAAACTTTTCTTGGTAATTTATATATTTATGCAGTGTTTTAGTTTTTCACAATCATCATATATTTGTTTTATAATTTTTTAAATGCCTATTTAAAAAATAATTCAGGCAACTCCAGAGACATGGATATGGAAGCAGAGAACCAGGGAGGAGAGAAGCATATACAGAACACTTATTATGTGCCATATGTTACCTTATTTCATCCTCACAATAGCCTTTGTAAGGTAATTTTTATACATGAAAAAATTAGACAAAGGAGTACAGTGATCTTCCCAAGTTCACAGATAGTGACAGAAACAGACTCAAATTCAGGTCCATCAGACTCCAAAAGCTTATTCTCTACTCAAGTGTTTTAAAATATCCTTTAGAAAACAGTAACATACTAGATACAAACAGGACCATGAGAGCCCAGAGGAACTAGTATTTACCAGTCTAGAGGAGCAATAGACCAGGTGAGCAGAGTGAGAGAGAAAATGTGTGTGTGTGTGTGTGTGTGTGTGTGTGTGTGTGTGTTAGGGTTGGAGGACTTTGAGAGACAGTCAAGGGGAGAAAGTAGCCTGTGAAAAGAAGGCATGGATGATTTTTAAAAATATTAAAATAGTACTGTTAGGGGAATAAATATAATTTGTTATGGTTTGACACAGGACATGTAGGGTATAGATGATGGATAAATTGATAGATGATAGATAGATAGATAGATAGATAGATAGATAGATAGATAGATAGATAAAGATAGATAGATATGGGCATTGCTAGGAAAGGTTTAGAAAGATTGAGCAGAAGAACTAGACGAAGATCTTGTGTCAGTCCAATGAGTTTAAGTTTTTCCTTGAAAATAATAAAGGCATGCTGAAGAATTTTATGCACGACAAAAGTAGAAACAGACTCAAATTTGAGAAAGTTTATCTGGAGAACAAATTAGAGTTTATCTGAGAGCAGGGGAAACTCAAGCCAGGAAGACCAGTTAGAAGACTACTGCAATAGTCTGAGCTATAAATGGTGATCATCTGTGGTCATGAGGACGGACAGAGAGGAGAGGTTCAAGAGATAAGTAAGAGATCAAATGAACAGACTTTGCCATTTGATTGGACATGCAGAGTTGGGGAAAAGGAAACATTTACGCTGACATCCAGATTTCTGCCCTCAGAAACTGGATGACTGCTGGTGGTATTCACTGAGAAAAGAAAGATCAGAGAAATAGAATAGCAGGTTTAGGGACTGGGTAGGAGGTGAGGGAGTAAGTGTCATTATGTGGGGAGATGGCTGGGGCCATGTGCCAGGAAGCAGCCGGCAGGACATCTGAAATATGGGTTTGGATGCCTTCTGAGGGCCAAAGACACAACAGAAACAGTATGAAGCTGGTGGGCAAACACACCAACGAGAGAACATTGTTAAAAATATATATATATATTTCTAGGTCCTACACTGGAAATGATAATTCAGTGGGAATTATAAGAATCCATAGAATCAACAAACCGGGGTTTATAGTGCATTTGATGCCTAGCCAGACTTTTGCCTTAGTAAACTTCCAGAGACACTGTCTAGTGGGCTGGCTCAGTGCAGGCTGCGTTTCAAGGACCACAGCATTTGGCTATGTTCCCCCAGACAACCACTTTTCAGTTTAGTAAATCGAACTCAGTCACACATAGAAAACGTCAACTGTTTTGTCAATGACAGATATAAGCACAAATTCTTCAATTTTTAAGAGTAATAATTCATGCTGTAATAACATTAAAAATCAAGAAAGCTTTTATTTTATATTTTAATTCTAGAATTCAATTGGCAGGGTTTTATATGTTATTTCATTCTTAGATATTGCTGTTTTTAATTAAAGCAGGACACAAACCTATTTAAGAAACTATCATTTTAAAATTTAAGAACTATAAGTAGCAATTTTTCTGTATCTAAAGTGCCTGTTTATTGCCATAAGTTTTCTTATTTATTGAACACGCTATAGAAAGTTTATGGGATCCATTGAAAAGTATATCCCCTTACCTCCAATGTTCTGCATTGTAATGGAAACAAAAGCTCCAATTTTTCCCGGCCATCCAAATGCCTTTTCTCCTAATTTTTCATAAATCAAAGACCCTACAATCAAAGATAAAATAGCCTTGTTAAAGAGATTGTTTTAATGACTAAAATATTTTTGTCATATAATTCCATGCTGGAGTCTCAAACATGTAAATAAACATCATATAGAAATTATAAGCCCAAAAGATGCAACCTCAAAAACCAATAAGCAATATATCAAAATGTTCTCCAAACAAGAATCAATGGTTTTATTTATTTTAGCTGCATGTAGCAAGTCAAAACAGTTATTTCTATCATATATCAGAAATTTCTTTTTTCTATTTGTCTTGAACCTGAGCCAGTTGACTTTCACTCCTGCCTCTCACTTGCCCAAACAACTATAAACACTGAGAGATCGTGTCACTGGGCTCAGAAGAAAATGAAATGTGAAACTGACTATAATCATCCTAAGGTTATGAAGCAACAGACTGAAATACTCTTTTATGAGAATTAAAATAGAATGTGTTGGACTCAAGTGGTAGCATACCTCCTTCCTTGGCTGTTTTTAATAAAAGGTGAACTGAATACAGTGATAATATTGCCACAGCAAGCAGCATGATTCTGCAAAGGGAAGAGAGAGTAGGTAATAAAGTTTCTACAATAAATAAAATGTAATTATGTTAGATGTTACAATAAAGGATCACATTAATCTTTTCAATCATCAGCTTTCCAAAAGTATGTGGATTTGGGGGAGGCTGAGAAATTCTTTTCAGAACTCTACACATACCCTTTAAAGTCGTAGAAATAGAATTTGCTATATTTTACATACCTGAAGTCCCTAACTTTTTTAATGTTACCCAGTGGTAGAATCTGGTTCATAACTTAGATGCTAAATGTATAGCAACATTAGCAAATGCTACATCTACTTACTCAGCACATGGGAATATGTACATCATATTTGCATGATATTCACATCAACACTTAGAATTGAAGGGCTATTCAATAGCCTGACTAAACCTTAATCTGAAATCTAGGAATCCAAAGGCGAAAGCATGCAGTCTGAGCTGCATTACTGCTGATCCTGTGCATTAGATTACGAAGTACTTTGTAAGATAGAGGGGCAGGCAGTTGCATATATAATAGAGAAAGCAGAGAAAGCTAAGGATGGGGCACGAAAATTCCTTTTTTTTTTTTTTTTTTTTTTTTGCATTCAGAGTTATTTCTGGTGTTAGGACCCCCACATGCATGTATGGTTTCTTTATGTTTATACGGATTGGTATTTTTCCAAATCCAAGATTTGGAGCACAAAAATAAGAATGTTGATAGAAGCATCTACGTAATAAATGGAGGAGCAATGCTGCCTTTTACCTGGAATTCAGAAAAAAAATCTTTATCTTTGTTTATTTTTAAAAAATACACTTTCCCCACAATTGATCTAATCCCTTGGTAATTCCCAATGAAATCAATACTACAAATGTACATTTGGACCATGAATTATAAATTTTATAACCCCTGTAGCTATGTTGCACTCTTATTTTCCATAGAGTATGTTTGCCAGAACTGTCTAACCAATGACTTATTCCTATATTTTTCCATATGCCTTATGAACTTAACTGTTTTTAAGGAATAATGTAATTCAGATTATATAATTTTGTTCCCTGGAAAAATAATGAGCATTCCCTGTATTCTAAACATGTACTTTCTCTGGCAGAAAATACTAAGAGTAAAACCTTTAAAATACTGTGTCACTTGCTATAAATTAAGAGAGAAAGCTTAATCCAGTCTGGGCTACTTAGACACACAAAACACACCCCATGATGTTTAGTGATTTAATTGTTCTGACCAAATTCATCTGCTAAGTGTTTATAAGCCTAAAATGAGGCCCTCATTTTAAAAAGTGGAACATTCTTCTCTCATGAAGATGATCTATGACTGTGGGATTGGGGGAAGTTTTTCCTATTTCTATTCATCAGTGATCTGTAACTTCCTAATTCATTTTAATGGTATGTATAATTAATAAGGAAAGGCAGCTTTTTTTGTCTTAGAGGTAAGCACATTACAAAAGCATACAAATATATGACTACATACATAGCTATTAAAATTCAGATTATTAAAATCCTAGTTTATTTCAAAACATGGCTTATATAAAAGTAAAGTTGATATAAAAACCCATTCAGCTGAAGAATATTATACATAAAAGAGTTCAATCAAAGCACTAACACAATACAAATATTTATAGTCCTGATGCTTAGCCCTCAAATAGCTGTGTGATTACTAATCATATGTGATATTCAGAACATAAACAGCACATATTTGTGATATAAATGTTGCATTCTTAGACAGTTATTTAACTCTCTAGCGTTGCATTTGGGATTAGGATCTGTGTCCACAGTGGTGCCTAACATCAGACTTTATTCTTGTGAAGAATTCCACTGCTGCCAACTATATCCTGGAAAATGCCAGGCTGTACATGATGCACATAAACGTCTGTTGTTGTCTGTCATAGACAGTGCAGTATCCACCCTACAGGTCAACTACCAGATGCTGCTACCCTTAGGCAGCATTTGAACAAGTTTGGTGAAAGTACGTAGGTTTAGGAATAAGGTTTGGTCACTCAACAAATATTGCCTGTACCAGGCACTGCTCTAGGTTTGGAGGTAGAGACATTGGTGAGTAAAAACAGACATGGGCTCAACTTTCTAGAGCTTATAGTCCAGCAAGAGGGACAGATATTAACCAAATGAATCAGACAAATGGCACTAAAACATTAAAATTGTGGTGAGTGTTATGATAAGGTGATTTGCCCCAGTCATGGAGATCAGGGCGCGCAGTATTCAGGTGAGACTGAACTGACATATGAGGAGTTAACTAGATGAAGAAGGAAGAGAAGAGGGTTCCAAGACCATGTGCAAAGGTCCAATGGTGAGAGGGAATGTGGCATCTTCATAGGATGGAGAGAAGGCTATTGTGCCCAGTGTATCTGTCGCACAGGGGTACAGGGAATGGGACATAAGGTAGGCAAGGGCATGCAGGGCTCTTAGGCTTGGTTGCTTCTTTCCTAAGAATGAGATAAAATCAGATTTGCTTCTGGGAAAGATCTTTTTGGTTGCTAAACACCAAATTATTTCAAGTATTTACTGAATAACAAAATTCTTCTGGCGAGGCTGCTCCAGCACTTTGGTTGATTGAGCACATACACTTTCTGCCGTTGGGTTAGGGATGGTTGGGTGACCAAGTGCCATGATTAGCCTCCTCTGAGTCTTCACGTTCACAAAGATCAAACTTGAGATTGTTAATTGAAAAAGCCACCAGGTATGCATGGACTTCATCACCAAATGTAGACATATACATTCACTTACATAAAAAGTATGATCCCTGTGTTGGCCATGGCATAGGACAAGCCCAGGATCCCACTGCCCATGATGGCATTACTCAGGTTAAATGAAGACATTCCAAAGGAAGTGGTTCCGGGATGCTTGAAAAAGAAGGGATGTATTATAAGCAAACATTTGCCAAAGGGCATACCTTTAGGGGTTATCCTTATTCTCACATTATCTGCAGATTACAGTCCAAAATTGAAGACTAAGATAACATTACAGGAGTAAAGCCATTACTCAACATCAATAAAAGCATGTAATTTTCAACGGAATGCAGTGCTTGGTTTCAGCAGAGGCCTCAGTAAAAATACAAATTACAAGGGGAGTCACATAAAGAAGGGAAAACATGTATGATTGTAGATTACCTTTGGGTTAGAATGATTTCCCCCCAAAACACATAAGTTTCATAAATGATTCATGCAGCCATATGGCGAACAGGAAAAAACAAGCCCTTATTCCAGTAAGAGCCTGAATAAACACAGAATGTGCTGATCAAGGCTTGGAAAATTTCAGTCACATTGTTTTCCCACAGAGACCTAGGTAGATCAGACACCCTCAGTCCCGTTTATTGCCTGAAAGCATAGATTCACTTACGTGTTCATCAGCATAATCTGCCAGCTTCTTTTTCCCCAAAAATCCATTTGTCAGGAATTTCTGACTTTCAGTGTCTTCATTAGCAAATTGACTGAACACACACACACACAAATAAGAAAGTGAAAACATCTAAATATATGCTCTGAATCATATGTATGTTTCAGGTGATCTAAGTAACTGAATCAGAGGAGGGGAAATAAGACACCCCAATTTTCTTTTCCTCCTTCACACTAACGGTCATTCCAGACCAACAATTTTGAGTTCCATTTACAACTATACTTTGGGATGGAAGAAGGATGTTATAAAGGAAGGAAATATTATTTTTAGTTAAAAAATTGTTTATACCACATTCCCTCTTTCTCACATTAGCTATGCAAGAGACTACAACTAATTGTGTTCCCATTTAGAGCCCTTCCAAAGAAAGAGTACAGGGTTATGACAGAATTTTCTGAACTACTACCATACCATAATCAGATGATTTTATTAATTCAACGAATATTTATTAAATGCCTAGGCACTGTGATCCTTATCTCATCTGATGTTCAAAATATCCCTATAGGGAACTGTGGCTCAGAAAGGTGAAGCAGCAGGCCCATACCCACCCATACCCAGGGGGAGACCCCATTCTCCCCCTGGCATCAAGCAGTCCCAGGCAGGGCCCTGTAGCTGGTATTTTCTTTCTTTTTTTTTTTTTGGTACAATCATTTATACATACATCTCTTACTGGAAAGTAATTCAGTGGTAGCTGTGTGTTGTGTTGGTTGTTTCTGTGTGTGCGTATGTGTTTTAATTACTCTCAAAATGTACATGGATTATTAACAGATAATGAATGAAACTAAGGAAATTATTAAAGCAATTCAATGAACTGGCAAAAGAGTTGGGAGGGAAAGAAAACTTTAAGATGTCACTATCCACAGAGCGTTGTGATTCTGGTTTTCTTGGACACAGGCTAGAAGATGTACAACTTGGTTATAGAGCTGTGCTGGTCAGCTCCTGCAGTTACAAGCCAGGGCCTTTGAGGCTACGGACCTAGGACCAGCCACATTTCCAAGAGGCTCAATTAATAAGGCCTGCTGCTGCCATTGCATTTTTATACTGCAAAATGTCACAGACTTTTTAGTTGTTTTTATATAAAATGCTCGACTATGTATAATTTTAAAAGTGCTTTCAAATTGAGGGTTTGAAAATTTTAGGACATTTCCTACATGAAAAGAAAGATAAAGAAAGATAAAATAATTGAAGATTGTTCTATTAATATAATCCTAGAGGCCAGGCACAGTGGCTCACGCCTGTAATCCCAGCACTTTGGGAGGCTGAGGTGGGTGGATAACTTGAGGTCAGGAGTTCAAGACCAGCCTGGCCAACATGGTGAAACTTCGTCTCTACTAGAAATACAAAAAGTTAGCCGAGTGTGGTGGCAGGCGCCTGTAATCCCAGCTACTCAGGAGGCTGAAGCAGGAGAATCGCTTGAACCTGGGAGGCAGAGGTTGCAGTGAGCCGAGATTGCACCATTGCACTCCAGCATGGGCCACAAGAGTGAAACTCTGTCTGTCTCAATAAATAAATAAATAAACCTTAGAAATAAAATAGAAAATAATTATTGTAGGAGATCTGTACAAGCTATTTTTTATAACAGAAGCTAATCCTGAAAATAATCTGGAGAGGAAAGAGGATGACAGGGTTACTTTTTGAGAATAGAAAACAGTATGAGATGTAGATAGAAACAGCACACGAAACCACAAAGTTGTATGTGCTTTTCTAGAACTCAAGGCATAAATAGCTCTGAGTACACAAGTTAAGAACATTTCCTAGCCTTCTCCCCATATTTCTCACAGAAAGCACAATGCCCTCAGTTGTTGCCTCTTTCCATTTCCATTCACCCCCCACCCACTGCCCACCACTCTTTTGTGGTTTACATTAATGGTCTGTAATTAATGTACCTGCTATGTGAAGACTGGTACATAATGTTCACAGTTGGAGACTGAGATGACAGGATAAAATGAAGCCTAAAATGGGCCTGAGGACTATAAAAACAAAAGTGCCACCTAGAATTTAAACTCTGGAATCTTTATTTTAATCAATAAACTAAAATCTGTATTCCATAGTAGTTTTTAAAATTGAGAATTTGAAAGTAAACAGATTTTCTTTCTTTGAGGCATTTGCATGTTCTTATTTTGGCATGAGATGAGTTGTAGTCATTTAACATGCCAAGATTGTATAAAATAGATGAGAAATGTCCCCAGTATGTTAAATGTTTTGATACCAAACCCAGCATGTATTGAAAACACAAGTATAATGATCACAAATAAATACATTATGTTGAATTTCTCAAAAATTTACATTTAAGGGTTCAATCCAAACCACACATAGATAAAACCCATCTCTTTAAACTGATTTTAAAAACTGCAAAATGATGTCCTATGTTTAAGCCAGGAGATAAAAGGTAAGTCACTGTGAGTGGTTCGGAACACATTGCATGAAGCTTAAGAAAAGCATTCATGCTCTTTCTACTCTGGCTTTTGAGGATCAAGTGGAATGACACTATGACAGTTCTTAGGAGGGTGTCCCCTTTAACTCTGTCAACCTCGGCAGAGCTCATATTTGTGTGCATGCCTTTCAGAAACATCCTCAGGTTTGAATCAATTTACTGAGGGTAATGCAGTGAAGGAGAAGTAATAAAAAAGTATTGAATGTCATCTATATTCTGGTCACCCATCTCATCCTTGAAAAGCAGCTGTTGGTTTGCCATTTTACATTTTCCATTGAAGCTCAAAGAGGACAAACAGCTTCTCTAAAGTCAGGCAACTACTCTGCAGACTCCAAAGCCCTGTCTTCTAGCACCCTAGTGTTTCTTCAAGGGTCACCTAATTTAGAAAATGCTATAATTTACATCTCAGTGGCCTCTCTAGTCCGACATCCCTAAAGTTCATTGCACTGAGCTACTTGAAGGAAGAACGGTAGTTTCTCCTGATGGATTTTCCTGGGTGTTGTAAATAAAATGAGAAGTCTTTGTTTGAGCACAATATTCTCTATTTCACGCCTAGATTTGGTCAAAAATTCCCTTCTGAGCATCTTAAATCATGTACAATTTGATATAACATTTTGTGGGAAATCAATTGACTTATCAAATAACTATTGTGCACTCACTATGCACCAGACAATGTGGCAGGTGGTGGGACCACAGAGGCCATTAACCTGTAGTAGTGGCGTAATTAACATCTGCACAGGGAGAGGGTACATGAAGGAGGGGCAGTCACTTCTACATGGGGGAGTAGAGTAATTTGGAAAAGGCTGCATAGGAGACCTGATGTTGAGCTGATTCTTGAAGGATGAGAGGTGTCAACACGGAGAAAGGGGGAGCAGGTGACTGATTCCAGGCAGTTGGAGCAGAATGAGTGAAGGCAACAAGTAACAAATAGGGAGAGGGCAAAAAACAGGACAGGAGGGGCAGGTCAAGAACAGATCACAAAGGACCTTACGTGCCCAGCAGTGTGTGTAATCTACTTTCTCTTATGGCTATTGGAGAGGTGCAGAAGGGCTTTATCTAAGGATGGAAATTGATTCAATTTGCAATTGTAAGAGATTGCTCTTGCAGGAGTGTAGAGGGCTAGACAGAGGAGAGCAAAATGTAAGACAGGGAGAGAAATCAGGGCTCTCTCCCTGTCTCACATTTAATGTAGGCCTAACGTAAGACCACAGTAGAATGGGTACAGAAAAGTAGGTGTATTTGAAGCATTAATAAGGTCAAACCAACTGGATATGACTGACCGTTGGCTATGTGGGTCAAAGTTTACACCTAGGGGCTTTTGAGTGAGTTGCTACATGATAGCAGTGATTTTCACTAGGATGGGGATTACTAGAGGAGGAGCAGGTTTTGGAGGGAAAGATAGGAGTTCAGTATTAGACATTACAGGTTTAACTTTATAAATGAGGCAATTTAGACACAGTAATGGTCCAGTAGAGACGTGCAGTAGACATTCAGATATAATTATCTGAAATTCAGTAGAGAAACTTAACAGGCTGGGTATATGGCATATATTTGGAGGGTGAGGCCATAGTAGTTGTGAGTGAGCTTGCCCAGAGGATACTTTTAGAGAGAAAAGAATCCCTACAGAAACCAGGAGGTGTAGCAACATTCAAAGAGGAATCTGAGAAAGATAAGAGGAGCAATAGGCTAAAATAATTAAAATTATTACACATTATTAATGGAGACAAAGACATTGTAACCTCAATTCTAAATCAGTCACAAAAGAGATTGACATTATCACTGTATTTCAGGACCAGGGAATTGATGTGCTAGCATCAATATCATTGTTATCACAAATTTACCTGTAATAAATCCAGTTCTTCCCATCAAGACCCTGTTTTCCATGTCCACATCCTGTCTTATTTTTCCATGGAACATAGTAATTTTTAACCCCATACCTGCTCATTGCTGCCTTTTCTGAATTTCCTATCCCGATGTAGCTATCTGGAGCACTTTCTCCACTGCTGCTCTCATCATCTGGTTCGATGTTGACATTTCTCAGTTCCATGGGATCCATTTGAGCTGTCAGCGCTTTCTTGTCCACACACAAGCCCCTTCAGTGTAAATAATATACTGTACCTTCAGCTTAAGGTTCTTCCACTTTGTGTTGATGTTCAGAACACTCTGTTCTGCAAACAGAACACAACATACATCATTATAATTTTATTTAAATGAAATAAGTGAATATGAATCATCTACATTTTGTATGCTCTCTGTAAAAGGGAGGAAGGAAAGAAACTCCTGAAAACTTTACATAAGAAAATCCTGAAATGTTCCTTTACCCAATACAAGAAAGGAAGAAATGGAAGAGAAGAAAGGAAATTACTAATAATTGCTAAATTAGCAGATATTTATAGAGTGCCTATGTATAATGAAAATGGCAGGTTTTACTAGTCACTATGGAAAAAAAAAGAAATCTTAAGACATGGCAGCAGTCTTCAAGGAAATTTAGGTATTTGTGAGTGGGATACATGTTTTAAAAGAAAGGAAGACAAAAGTAAATTGTTGACAGAGGAAGGTCTACCAAGGCAGAATCTACCAGTGTCTCTACTAGCAATAACTAGAAAGAAAATTACTGCTTTAATTTAATTGGACATGAAAGAATTAACACCACCAAATGCTTGATAATATGCAACATAGGTGAGGATCAAGTTTAGGAAGTAACTTTCTAGGCACTTGGATCCTGAAGCCAAAGTTAAGAATAGTAACAAAAGAAAGTTCAGATTTACCTCTGGGTCAGCATTACTCATCATCTGTGTCAAATTAAAATGTATTTTAACAACAAAGAGATCTAGATTTTAGCCTCTGCTCTGCCTTTAATTCATTGGATCTCAGCAGAAGTCATTTAACATTTGGGGACCTCATTTTCCTCAATTGTATAGTGAAAAGGGGTGGACTGGCATTGTGTTTTTGAAAAATGCCTTGAATCTACTATATGTAGTTGATATAATTTCTTCTGAAATTCTTACCATTAGATTCATTCAATTATTGTTGAACCATCGTATTAGGAGAAACACTATCATTCTTGAAAAGTGTGGTCATGACATGTGCAATACCCATTTGATAAGGAAATCTTGAGCAGAGAAACTAACATAAAAATTGCTCCAGAAGTCACAAAATGTGCTATTCCTCTGACAAACAGAAACTACCACATGGGAATACCTCCACAACCCAGTGCCATGGCAGTACTTTTTTGAAAGGCAACTCACACTTGAGAAAAGTTCACATCCTCAAATTACAAAACATATAGAACACACATGGAAACTCACTAGCAAGAGTGCCAGTAGGCACAAGAAATGATAAAATTCACATCTAAGGAACTACAAATAACAAAGCAATTTAAAAGGGACTTTTACATTAAATTAATAAAAAGAAAGACATTTTGAAAGAAAACATTCAAAATAAGAGAATAACTTTCACAGAATAAAAACATTATAAAGGAATATAAAAGGAGAACAGGCTGTTGCAAAAAGAGTCAAAAAAAGGAATTCTTAAAAAAAAGAAAAAAATAGAATCATTGAAATTTAAAAAAACTCAGCTGAAGGAAGACTTATAAAATTGAAAGACAGATCTGTGGAAATCACTCAAATTATAGCATGAAGAGATTAAAAAAAGAAAAATACAAATAAGAAGTTAAGAGGAATGGGGAAAAAATAAGAATTACAAGTTCAAATATACACTGATAGTCATTCCAATATAGAGAATTGTGAGACTAGGGTGAGACAAAACAGAAAGAGATAATGGCAGAGAATTGTCTAGAAATAAAGAAAGCAGTTCTCAGAATTTAAAAAAATAGCACACAGTGTTTTAAGCAGGAGGAACAAAAATGAAACTATTATTAATATAAGGCAGCCTAAATGTATATACATAAAAGATGAAAAGAAGCAGGTTAAAAGCTAAGAGAGAATAGAAGTAAGACATGCATATGGGTAAAAGAAAAAAAAAAGAAACTCACTAAATGAGTACAAAGGTTTTCCTCATTCTTCACACAGTACCAGTCTCACTTCCCAGCAGCAACCACTATTGACGGTTTCTGTTTTTAGCTTGTTACTTAAAGTTAGCCATTCTAGATCTGAATAATTCACTAAAGCTTTTTTGACTTGGTTTACTGATTTTAGACTGGTTACCCATAAAAAATAAGGACATTAGCATACTTTTTCTTTCTTTCCTTCCTTCTCCTACACTCCTAATTATTTTAGTTAATAAAATACTTTTACAATTTGAGAATCATAATATTTTCATCTTGTTCTGTGAAACAAGTGTCATAACTTGCCTGTAGGTTGTTTCTAAACATGGAAAACCAATAAGCAGCAATTACAGTATTATCACTGTATAAATAGTATGCCCTAAAGACAAAGTGGTGTATTTGACTACATAATAAGTGAAATATAATTCTATATTACCAAAACTTTGAAAGCAAATTTTCTATGCTCTTTCTCATTCTGAATGGCTTCCTCCTCCAACCTCTGAGTCTTGCTCAGCTGCTAGTTTCTTGAACGGCATTCTATCTTCTTTCTTCAGTTTATTTTGCATTATGCTAAAATAATGCCTTGAATAACTTTTTTCACACAATGAGCCTATGTCTGTAAATAGAATTTCTGAGTTGCTTCATGTTGGAAAATTCTTTATTTTGCCTTCAAACTTTGTTAATTGTTTGAATTCTAGATTCAGAAGCATTTTCCTTCAGAATATTGAAGAAACTTCTCTCTTCTAGCTTCTATTGATGAGTCTGGCTCTTATTTCTTTATAGATAATTTATCGATGGTTTTCTGAGGATTTCAGAATTTTTATCCTTATCCTTTCATCACGACGTGACTAGATGTGAGTCGCTTTTAAAATTCATCATACTCAGCATGCAGACGGCCCAATCAAAAGGCTTGTCTTTCTTCTATAGAAGACACATTTTCTAAAAATAAAAAAAGTTCTACTATTTAAAAAAACTATTTCTTCCCCTTTGTTTACTCCTGAAACTTTTATTAATCAGGTATTGGACCTCTTGATCCATATTGCTAAGCTTTTCTGTTTATGTTCGATCTGTTCATCTTACTGCTCGATGTTCAGGAATATTTCCTCAATGTCACATCCAAAATAACAAATTTCACCTTCAGCTATATCCGTTTCATTTTTCAACTTGTCAGCTATTTTTCTCAATCATGCTCTTAATTTCTAATAATTTGCTCTTATCCTCTTTCTCTTTTTTCATATCACTTTTTTTGTTTTATGGATACTATATTTTCTCAGATTTTTCTAAGGATATTGATGTGAGGTTTTCAGAAGTTCCTTTTGTTCCCTAAATTATACGTTTCTTCTGAAGTTAGTTATTCTGTTTGTTCCCTTTGGTCCTTCTCTTCCATGCTGCTCATTTTCCTTAGTTTCAAGTGTTCCTAGGTTATCTGTTCATATTTGTGAATGACAGAGCGCATCGATTAGCTTGGACAGCTGGTACTCAGAGCTTCTCTGAAATTGTGTGGGCCCATTTCACTGATGGGCTGCTCCCTTGTAGGTTCTGTGTAAGTGGCTCTTCTGCTGCTTGTCTGTGGGAGGAGCATCCCACTCCCAGACACAGCTGCCACTCTAGGAGCAGTTACTCCGGGGGTGAAGCATTTTAATGTATCTTCTTTTTGGTAGAGCTTCCATTCCTGTTTGTTATACCTCTTTGTCTGCAGTAGAGGCCCTAATGCTTATCCTAGCATCCTCCCTTGAGGTTTCTTTACAGATTGGATCACAGCTTTATCTTATAGTCAAAAATGGTATCCCAAACAGACCATGATGTCTAAACTGAGGTTCCTTGGTGGATACCTGATCACTGGTTGCCCATGATCTATGCCTCCTCTTTGTCTTTATCGACTTAACTTGAAGCTACTGCAGGGCTCCCTATGGGAAAAGCACACTTATCTTGGTTCCTTTTCTCTTAGATTTTCCAACCCTATCTTCTTTCTGCCTTCTAGGAATTCTCAAAAATTTCTATTTGCTGATGACACCACTATTGCTTTTCACAGTTTTTGTGGTTTGTCCTTTTAAAAATATGTGACATTTCATTGCTTGACTTCCTTAAAGCTAGATCCTAAGCCCCATTCTTCCAGTCCACTCCCAAGACTTCATATAACGTGATGGTTAATTTTATATGTCATTGTGGCTGCATTAAAGGATGGGAAGATAGCAAGTAAAACTTTATTTTGGGGTGTGTCTGTGAGGGTGTTTCTGGAAAAGATTACCATTTGAATCAATAGACTGAGTAAAAAAGGTCCACTCTCACCACTGAAGGTGAGCATCCTCCAAACACTCCAGGTTCCACATAGAACAAAAAGGCAGAGGAAGGGCAAATTTACTGTCTCTGCTTGAGCTAGGACATCCATCTTCTGCTGCCTTCTCCTGCCCTTGAACATTGGAGCTCCTGCTTCCCAGACCTCGTAATTCTGATACTTATACCAGCAACATCCTGTTTCTCAGCCTTTGGCCTCAGATTAAATTATACCACCAGCTTTCCTGGTTCTCCAGCTTGCAGATGCTGTACTTTGAGATCTCTTGGCTCCATAATCATGAAAGCCAATTCCCATTATAAATGTCATCTTATATCTATATACATCTATACCTGTCTGTCTATTTATCTCCAGTTGGTTCTGTTTCTCTGGAGAACTCTGATGAATACATATACCAAAGACTCCTCAAGTTACATCAGCCTAGGCTTCTCCTGGGAACTCAAGTTCCATGTGTCCAGGGGCCTAAATGTCATCTATATATCTCAAAGGCAGTTTAAATTCAATGTGTTCAAAGTCTAACTTGTGATAGGCCCTCTTCTTCCAATGTTTCCATTCCAAAGAATGTTGTCACCATTTATCCAATTATTCAAGTCAAAAGCATAAGAGCCTTCTATTATAAATTTTTCTTTCTTACCCTCCACATCCAGTTCTTTACAAAGTCTGGTTGACTTTTACAATAAACTGAAGTATTTCTCAAGTTAGTCTTTTTCTCTTCATTTCTTTCACCTTCACTCTTGTCCAAGCTACCATCATGTCTACTGTAAAAATCTCCTAATTGATCTTCAATTCTCTTTTGCCTCCCCTAACCACCCCCACCATTCATTCTTTACCCAATACCCAGAGTGATCTTTGAAACATAACAGCAACAACACAGATCATATCATTTATTTGCTTAAAACCCTTTAATGTCTTCCCTTTACTCTGAGGATAAAGTCCAAAATTCTCAACATGCCTGGTAAGATTCTGCCTGGTCCACCCACCTCTCTGGTCTCATCTCCGTCCACACTCTCCTCACCTTAGTGTTCTAGCTACACTAGTCTTTCCATTCCAGAAATCCACCGTGTTCTCTACATCTCAGGTCATTTGCACATGTGGGTCACAGTGACTGGCATGCTCCCCTCCCTCCTCCACTCCATCCTTAATTTATCCAGCCCCTCTAGGGGGCCATAGCAGTGTCTTTCATAGTATCCAACTTAGTCTGGGGGATCAGGGAAGGCTTCTCTGAAGAAGGAGCAGCAGGGCTGAGATCTTTGCTGCTGTAAGTATACATGTCTGCAGTCCAAAAGCTTCAGTTAAAGTCTGTTCTACTTTGTATATTAATAGGAACCTCATTCATTTCATTTGCATTAAGCCATGCTAATCCCAGAATTTTTTTAGAAAAGATATATCAAACACTCATATGGCACTTACCACATGCCAGCCACTGTTTTAAGGCCTTACATCTATCAATTCTTCAGAGCGGTCCTCTGAGGTGAGTACAATTTTTTTTCTTATTCCCATTGTACAGATGAGGTAATGGAGGCACCAAGTTGAGTGGCCTTCATGCTATGCCACCTTTGTATTGCCATCTCTACTACAGAGAACTAAAGCCTAATCAGGGAACAGGAACTATGTCTTTGGCAGTAAGCGAAACTGGGTATAAATCCTGGCTGCATTAACTAACTTCTGACTTTTCCATTTTCTATGAAATGAAGTTAATATTATTTACCACAAAGCAGTGTTGTGAGAATTTAAATGAGATAATGAGTGTCAAAGTTTGGCCTATAGTAGGCCTTCAATAAATTTAGATCTGTTTTCTCTCTTCCAGTAATCAGAATTGAATTGATGTCTTTATGTAGCTGCAAACATACATAATATTTCATATGCATAATTAGACACTTACAAAAGAGGGCTTTACAGTTCTCAAAACTCTCACAAACATTGTGAGTGAGGTAGATGCCCCTTCACAA
Source organism: Homo sapiens (assembly GCF_000001405.40). Lineage (NCBI taxonomy): Eukaryota > Metazoa > Chordata > Mammalia > Primates > Hominidae > Homo > Homo sapiens. The sequence goes on from NC_000012.12 coordinate 46,799,264, forward strand.
ATGAACAAATTAAGACCTAATTTTATGCTGTTTTAACATATATAAAATATTTATTGGGATGGGCACGGTGGCTCACACCTGTAATCCCAGAGCTTTGGGAGGCTGAGGAGGGTCTATCTCCTGAGGTCAGGAGTTTGAGATCAGCCTGCCCAACATGGCAAAGCTCCATCTCTCCTAAAAATACAAAAATTAGCTGGGCATGGTGGCGCATGCCTGTAGTCCCAGTTAATCTCCTGAGGCAGGAGAATGGTTTGAACCCGGGGTCGGAGGTTGCAGTGAGCTGAGATTGCACCACTGCATTCCAGCCTGGGCAACGAAGATTCCATCTCAAAAAAAAATGTATTCTATTTTTGCCTTGGCCAAGGGAGCTCTCACAAAAGTTGAGACACTTTTTCATGGCTTATATCTTAACTCTGAAGATTATATCACTGATCTATTTAAGGGAACAATGGTTAAATGCACAATTCAAAAAGAATTAGCACATTATGAGAAACTAAATATTCTGAATCATCTGTCTACAGCACAAAGTATATACCTTGAAGCCTTTAGACTATATCATAATTGCTAAAATTTAATCAGAAACTATGGAAGACACAGAGGATGAATAAAACAGACTCCTTGCACCTGAGGAACTCAGCCTACTAAAACAAACAGATTTTGAGCAAACTCTTAAAGCATAATATAATTAACATTTTTTACCTTTTTCTTGGAATAAATGTGCATTGAATTAATCAAAGAATTATTGCATGGGTAGGATAGAAAAGAATATTGCTGGCAAACACTGTAATTGAAACATAAAATTTTCATAGGCATAGATTCTTCTGCTGTTTGCCATCTCAGAACATGCTACCTTCATTCACCCAACCACTCACTGGGTAGACCTGGCTGTCCCATTCTCTATCCTTCACCTCCTACTCATGTCCAACGTATCACCAAGTCCTATCAGTCCTTCTTTCAACATTTATTTAAAATTCATCCACTTCTATCTCCATGACCACTATGTTATTCCAAACGACTGCGCTACTGAAGGCCCTACTGTGATTTTGTCATCACTTTTAGACTAAAGTCAAATTTCCTAATACACTGGAAGGTCTATATACTTTGACCCAGACATAGCTCTTTAGTCTCATACTGAAGCCGATCACCCCTCACTCACTGAATATATTAGGCTTCTTTCATTTCCCCACTGCCACTGCAGGACCTCTTAAGGCACTGTTCCCTCTGCTTGGACTGCCATTCCCCACATTCTTAGCCCAGGTCCCTCCCAATGTTAACTAAAACAACCTGAAAATCTTTAAAGGCCAATTGGTCAGAGTGTCCTGCTCTGACCCCACATTCCCACATTACACTAGATCTGCCACTATATGCTCTCCTCTCCTGCGTAGTATTTATCACACTTCTTACTTACTCTTTTAGTTGCCTATTTGATAATTAACTGTCTTAGGCAGAAGCTTCATGAGAATAGGAATGCTGCTGGGGTTGTGGATTCTACATATTCCTAGCATCTAGCACAGTGCCTAGTGTTACATTCCACTAAGATAAATGCAATTTGATATGATCTGTGTTATAGTAATAGATAGAGGTATGCTTTTTGATTATAGTTTTATAGGATAATGCTTCAAAATGAAATGAAAATTCTCTCCTCTGATTGTCAGGAGAAAAAATCGCTTTGTTGCACAGGGAATGTTCAAAATGCTTCTAAAAGAAAAGTCAAATTTAGTTCAACAGAATTTTCTATAGTCTAGCCTTTCTCCTCATTAAAGTTAAGTTTCTCTCTAATACAAAGAGGTCTCGCAGAAACAGACTGGATTTTCTAGCACAGCAGTGCTCAACTGCGTTGTTAATTCAATTGACTCTTCATGAAAATACAAAGTCAAAACTTGAAACCAAGTATTTAGAATATTATTATATTAGAATAATTTCATTTCTATCATATTAATTAAAAGGTATCTAAGTGTTCTGAGTAGCTAATTCTTTATATCCAAATTCTAATTATTAAACATTGTAATGTCTTGTTCTTTGGATGGGTACCTAAGAAGTTCAGGGTGTAAGGGTGTCAAAACAGTAAATTTCTTAAATTTTACCTGTATGGTTCAACTTTAAAGAAAGACATCAAGTCTGGAAAGCAAAACAGTCCTTGAGTCGAGAAGCAAAAGTTCTGACCTTCCCTAGTTACTGTAAACATTTATTTTACCTGATAAGTGAAAGTGAAAAAGGGAGCTAATATAGCCAGAGCAGATTTCCCAGCATTGCTATCTGTCTCATCTTTCATGCCTACCCAGTATTGACAAATTCACTTTGAAATTTAGGTTTAGGTAGCAGAAAGCCTCACCTATCATTTACCCTTTGGTTGAGCAAGGGTCATGCAACTTCTAAAAGCCAAATCATCTTGTATCCAAGGAACTTATTTAAATCTACATCCACCCTGTACCATAGATAAATGAATGTAGCTTTTACACTACAATCAGTCTAATATTACCTTTATATTAAATTATCTTAATTTCCCCAACAATGCCATTCTTGTCATATTTTGTCAGTGAGAGCGCTTGTTGGTCTATAGCATGAGTTCTCACAGAAATTAGCTTCCATAAAAGTATTCAGTCTGAGGTAGCTCTTAAAGAAGAAACCAACAATAACAGCAGAACTGTACTTGACTATTTCCTATTGCTAGTGCTAATATTTTGGCATTTCCTTTTTTCCTCTACTCAGATATAGCTTACAGATAATATCTAGGAAGAACTAGAAAAGTTAAGATAAATAACCAAATACTAAGGTCTTTTCCCATTTCTGAAAAGATTACATGCTTGCTAATATAAGAATTAAAGCAGCCATTTGATGAGGTATAAAGGACTGGTCATAAGATTTGAATATGCGATTTTGTTTACAGACTTTCTAGCTCTGCTCTTAGAAGAAAACATAGTCATCTTAAACATAAATTGCCACATAAATTTTAGTTCATATTTTCCCAAAGAGTAGTTTCCAGAATGCACAGGGATATGTAGCATACATGATATTAACATAGTGAACTCTTTCTGCTCCACATTTTAATGCATGATACTTAATCTGTCATGAGTTCTGGATGCAGTAAGTTCCATTCATTATAATAGATACTGGACCATTCCCAGAGGTACTTTTTTCTTCTTCTTAGAATAATTATTTTCACTTTCTTTAAACTAACTCACATAACTAAAAAACAGCTTCAATAACCTTAAAGCACACTGTATAACATGTTTAAAGAAAACTCAAAAGTTGAGTCATTAAAGCTACATTTTTCAGATCTTAAATGTTGCTTATATACTTCTTAGGAGTACAAATGTAAATACTTTCAAGAAAATCCCAGAATGCTATCTAAATATAAATCGAAACTGGAGGATCTTGAACTATAAACTAAATGGCAATCTTTTATTAAAAACACACCCAAATTTCTTTACTTTGTCAAAACTAAAACTTTTTAGCCCAGTGTTCATGAATGTGATATATATCATCAATTCAAATATTCTTCCACTGAGTTACAAAACACTCTTAGTTTTACTATACCCTGGGCATTTAACTAAAACCATCCACATATGCTCTGTAAGATACTCAAAGTACAGGGATACTTAAATCCACTGGGAATTCTCCTCTGTCTGATTAATAAATTTGAGGAGAACACCTCTACTTTTAGATAATTGACTCTACTCCTTCAAAATCTAAAGCTATGCTTATATTCCATTCAATTCCCTAGTTTCTTTTAGTAACTTTGTTCTAAAAATACTCCTTAACTAAAATGGTCAAATTAAGAAGAAAAGGTAAGACACAACATTTTTTCTTTTTCATTTGATAATGGTACAGCCCAAACTCTTAGCCATTCACATCTGCTGCACTGAAGTGATGTTCCTTCTTTGATTAGTCAAAAATTTTGTGGGGTTTTATTTGTTTTCAAGATAAACAAAAATCTTTAATAGTGTAATATTGAGAATGTATTTCTGAACTTTCATATTTTTTCCTAAGACAGATTATGTCAATTCTTCATTATAGTCCATGATCAACCTGGAGATATAAATAACTAAACACATTTTACCGGCTGTATTTGCAATGTTTCCCTTTCTTATTATTCACTGTCCTAATTTTATGTTAAACCTAAAATTATCTGTAAAAGAAAACTGCAATCAGGACCTGGGTAAATAATTTCAATGTTTGACATTATACTGAATTGATCATTTCTAAAATGAGGAAAAAAAGTTATCCAAGTAGTATTTTCAAACATTTTAATTTTTAATTAATAAACAAACAACACAATAAAAATAAGAAAGTAAGCATTATTTTAACACTGCAAATATTCATGTAAAAACAGCTGTACCTTAATTATTTATCCAGTCCTGTGCAGGCTTTCCTGACTTGTTTGGAATGGCAGACCCGTGTAACAGCTTTGATTTATATGAAACTTTAGAGATCTAGACATTGATTTAAAGACCAGTGGGAGTGAACGAGACAAGCCAATCAACACCACCACCTCACCCCAACACCTCCTTCTGTCCAACTTGCGTCAGCTCTTGAAAAAAAAAAAAAGAGAAGCTAAGTCAGTTTACTGTTGTACATTTGGATTAAACATCAGTTACACCAATTTCTATTTGCTTTTAGAATTTTGGCTTTCATACAATAAAATAATCACTGAAAGTTTTAGCTTGGTTGGTGTCATTCTCTATTAAGATTTTACTAGGTTGGTTGACTGATGAATCCAGAAATATTCCGTTTTCAAAAGACTTATGAATTGAAGTCAAAGCAAAACAATACAGTAACAATAGTTATGAGGTCAGATTGTTTAATGAAACATAATCGAAATCTCCAGAAAATATTGATTACATAGTGAAAGAGTTATTTTCTTTTAAGTTGTTGATCTTTTCAGAGAAAATTTTACAGAATGACAAATACTTCCAAACGGTACAGTTACTCAAGATGCCATGAAGTTGGAAATCACAGGCCAATATCAGCCACCACTCCTACACCAACGGCAGTGTGCTGAGTAGGCAAAAGGCTGTTTGGCATTTTAAAAGAATTTTTAAGTAGGTATTTTCTGCATTAAAAAAAAAATCTACTTGGCTCTCAACATGTCAGAGGTAGGGTTTTTAACTCTGCCATATTTTATATGTTGGCAAATCATTTATTTATTCTGCTATTAAAATGTATCAACTAGAAACTATTCTGAAAGTGAGGAAAGAAAAACAAATCACAAACGAATCAAGAATTGAGGGTTCTTTGCCTTTTAAGTATTTATGACATGAATGAACAATCTAATAACCAATCAGAAGCAATGCTAGATTACAACAGATGTGTCAATTCCTATTTCTATAAAAGAAAACTAAACATTGCTCCTCGAGTAAGATATTCTTAAGTCGATGCAAGACATTAAACATTAAACAAAATGTGTAGTTAACAATTTTTTTTCCTTTCCAAATGTGCCCGTTTGGTCTATTAACTGTATAGTATTGCAAACTTACTTTTACTTGTCTCTTAGCTCATTGTCTATTTTTTAGAGTTACCCCATAGTTTTGTCTTTTATCAGACGAGAAGTATTGTGGTCTAGGGGAACAATGATAATAACAAATGTACTAATTTTAACGGTAGGGAAATCTCAAAAAAATTCCTTTTAAAATTTCTATTTCCATCATTTAATAGTGATGTTTCCAATTTAAGATTTCTTTCTGTTTGCAAAGTTACCAGATAAATAAAAGATTAACCATGCAAAAATTGCAATAATTGTTAGAAAATCAAATCTATTCTTGTAAAATTTCATTTAATAGTGGGTCAATCAAACAAGAATGAATGCACTCCAATATGTTAATTTGATATTAAATTATAATATCATTTAAAATCGGGTGGAGATAAATGTATAGATCGTTAAAGTTTTACTCTTCCTAAAATTGTAAGCTTTGGCTTTGTTGTAATTCTGATCTTCAAGTATAGTAAATAATTATAGTAAATTAGCATTGGATAAAAATTAAAAGCACACACAAGAGACTTCTATTGAAGAGTTTAATCATGTTTCTTTTAAACCTACTCTACATAGCAAAATTCTTATTACAAAACTTTTCTAACACTGACTTAAAAATCAGATATATACACATGAAAACTAATTTGGCAAAAGTTAATAAATTAAAACAATTAAGTATCTGGTTCATCATTTGACTATTTTTTTCCCTAGATCATTTGACATTTTCAGATGTGGCCAAAATTAGTGAAGAAATATATGGTCTGCTCTCAACAAAACTCACGATAACTTTTCTTTCATAAGCAAAACACAGACTTAATCATTATAATTATAATTTAATGTTCTGAATATTTATTAAAATCATACCACAATGTAATCTCATGCGCATTTGCTAATAGACTTGTGCTGTTTTGAATTTTAATGCATGGCACATGCAACATTCAGTTAGGCTCATGCTTGTTTCATGTACCATAGTAGAAAGAGCTAATCATCAGAATATGGGCAGACCTTAAAAATGAATAAAATGAAAAATACGTAAGTAGTGAATAATGAAGCAAGTCTGGGAATGAGATGACAAACACTTTAACTTGACCTTCACATAAGAAATTAAAATATGTGCCACCATGAATAGATATATGAGATTTGGTCTGTGTGTCTATAGGGGTAGGGGCTGGGGGTAAGATACATCCACATAAAGGGAGACTTGGCTTCCCAGACTAGAACCTACTTAGTGTCAGCAGAACTGCACAGCATGCTCCAGGACTCCAGGAAATAAGGAGTCCCTAGGGACTGAGGACATTCAAGATTTCAGAGAGCCCACAGACCTTGAGCCGGCTATTAAAAGTCCATGTGAGATTCTAGTAGGTGGAGAGGAAAAGGAAAGACATCCTAGATGAAAAATACCCTTGTAATTCTGATCTTCAAGTATACTAAATAGTTACAGTAAATTAGCATGTTGGATTAAAATTAAAAGCTAAAAATTAAAATGCCAGAAGTATATTCTGGCAACAGTGAGAATCATTCTGGCTCCAGTAGAGACCTTCTGGAGCAGAATAGGAGAACAGAATGGAATAGTACAGACTGCAAAAGGTGTTAAGTCTAGGGAACTCAGATTTTTAGTGATGAAGATCTTTTGAAAACTTCTGAAGAAAGTAAGAAAATCAGCATAGTAAAAATGTAGGAGAGATGATGGTGTGGAGGTGGTGGTGGAGGTGGAGGTGGGTACAAGGAGGCCAGTAGGAAGGTTGACTGATAGTTTGGGTTTGGTGATGTTTGCCTATCTGAGAATAATGGCAGAAGGAAAGGTAGATGGACAAAATTTAAATTGGAACCAATGGTAATTTGACTCTTTCTCTTGTATTCCTATTTCTTTTTATCACTTTCACTAGCTCACAATGCTATGAATTTTAAGTGATCATTTTATGAAAAACAAGAACTAGCAATAAAATCTTCATTTTCCTTACATAGAGAAAGAGAACGTATGGTGATAATTCATCCATTTCAACACCCGTTTCATCAATCTATGACTATCACCTTCAAATAGTGTAGAGAAGGTCTTAGAATGTACATCCCAATGTAATGTTATCTATTGAAAATACAAGAATGTTGGCTCAAAATACAGTGATTCAGATTATACCTGTACATTGAGTAAGAAATTTTCTTATACATATTTAAAATCATTGATTATATGGTTTAAAATTTCTACCTCCAACAATGACCTTAAAGAGAAAGTTCCAGCGGGATCAAGTTAAAATTAGTCAACAATTAAAAAAAAAAATCTTAGACCATCATGGTATTTTGCAACGACAGTGGGAGAGATAAACTGTTGTTCTCGTCATGACTATACCTAAATTTCTAATTTTAGTCATAGGACGAAATAATATTTGAAAATAAAATTTGGTTGTAGCCAAATTGGAAGAAGACATTTAGAAACAGTAATGACTAAGAAACAAATTATGTATTTTTTAATACTTTTGTAATGCCTTTGTTTCTGTAGTCATTGCTTTTCTTTGCTCTCACTTCAATTTCCCTTTAGGTCATCTCCCTTTTTTCTTGCTTCCATTTCTTTTTAACTTTTCTATACAACATTGTATTTATGATGCCTTATTCTCCAAGAAGTTACCTTTTACCGTAGATTCATAAACTCAAGATCTAATTGATTTTTTTAATCACATCATAGGTAAATGTCTATCTGACCTCCCAGGTCTTTCCTAAAAAGTGGAAAATACTAGCAGGACTGCAGAAAGAAACAATATTTTGATTACTTCTCTTTAATATGGATTTGCTGTCTGCCTTTTCGTTTTCAGACTTACAGTGTTAAAGAGAATTTGTGATCTTTTTTGATGTCATTGTTTTGGCACTTCAAATTCTTCATTTTATTTCTCTTTTAATATAGATACTTGCAAAAAAAGAAAAATAGAGAAAATCCATAGAAAAATGTTACAGAAATCTTCCTAAATTATTCAAATAGCAGAATTCTCTGCCATGATAAAGGGGAGTCAAGCACTTCTATACCTGAGCTGTCATATTATTTGTATCACTTGTAAAGTAATGAAAACTTAGGTACACTATAGGCATCTCTTTACATGGTTCTGTAATTATTAACCTCAACTTACAAAATAAAAAATTGGAAAGAAAAGAAGAGATAATTAAATGTTACCCCCCCCCCCAAAGCCACATATAAAATTAATTGCAAACAAAGAAGTAAAGATCAATAATTTTCTAATTTGCTTTGGCAAAGCCTCTCAGATTTCCGTGGAAGCTTGAGCCACTTCTATTTTTTTAAGACACCAAATATACATATATATCTTTGCATTGTTTTAATCCAAAATGGGATTACTAAAATGTAGTGCATTTTAAACATTTCTATTTAACAAAACAACATCTTAACACACATACAATACAAATGACTACATGATTAGGATCATTTGATGATACCTTCAAAAAATCTAAATTTGAGACCCTCCCAAATATGAAGCCCCAAAGAGCTTTCAGCCCAGGCCCCTGGGAGAGGCTCTGATTTTCCATTCTAAGAAACCCCACCAAGTGAAATGCAATGACCCACAAGTTTTGAGGAAATTGCTTAGCTGATCGCACGCCCCTCTCTTCAACCCAACCTAAACCACCTTTTCAGTTATATAATGGAGCATTCTGGAAATGTTTGAATAGTCAACTACTATGTTGCAAAATTAGCAAACAAGTTTGGTTCAGGTTGACAAATTTATTGACTTTGCCACAGACCTAAATAGAAAATTGCTTTTAGCCTCAGCTGACAAAACAAGAAAATTAAATTAAAAAAAAAATCTGGTTAGACAACAGCCCATGATGTCTATATTTTGCCTCTGCCTTTCACCTTTGAAAAAGATCCTTCTGGTCCACTTCATTTATTGATCCCACACTGAAATGATGCAATGAAAAGTATCACAAGTTCATTTCAGGCTTCCACCTAAGCAGAAATGTAATGTAACAAGGTCTATAGGACTTATGGGTGATTACAACTTAAATAATGTACTGAAATTCTAAATGTTAAATTAGAACTTTTAGAAGCTTGCTTTAAAGAATAATTTCTAGCCTTTAAAATGCCTGCTTCAGAAAACAGCACTGCTAAGAGATGTATAATTATAATAAGTATAACAATACTTCCTGAAAACTGACTCACCTTGTTAACGTAAGTTCTTCATACAGAATACATATTATGGCAGTGCTGGGCTGGGTTGACTCTCTAGTTCATAGCAATTGATAGTTTAAAAAATTACATTCTTCTTAGATCACAGCATATTAATTTCCATGACTCTCTTTCATACTCCTGCCTGTCCCTACCAGAACAATTTTGATGCATTTTGATTTTGTAATTTCATTAGTGATTGGACTTTGTAAACCTGTTATCATCTTGCTTAAATTTGGACTTTCGGTAGTTTAAGCTGTGACCCAATATGCTGTGTGGATAGACTTTAAAAGCAAGGGGGCCCTCCTAAATGGTGATAATGCTAACATATGCTTCAAAGAATCAGGATCCCTACTAACTAAAGATATGTTCAGGCTGGCCTTTTTACTATCCTATCCAGAATGTTAGAAATAAGAAATGCATGTTCACTAGAAAATGTCTTTCAAAGGAATCTGAGCAGAGAGAGAGAAATAATAGTGTCATCGACATTTCCTCATTCACTTTTTAATGAACTCGGGAGGATTTCCGAGTCAGGTCTCCTCAGTAGAGAAGAGGGCAGGCTTCTGCCTGAAAAGCTTATTTCTGCTGCTGGACTCCAAGCAACTCCCAGGTGGGGCCATGGTGTAGTCAGAGCCCTTCACAGGGACACTTGTTGCCTAATGCACCCATTCTTCACCACAAGAGTTTGCAGTGCCCAGCATGGGACATTAACTGAGCTTTTTGTACTTTACGGTTGCTTTAGTTAGGAATTATAATTCTTGGAAGGCTGGGTATAAAATTGGTAGCACCAGTCTTTCTTTAAATATAGGAAAAATAAATTCAGAATAGAATGCAATTTCTATTCAGAAAAGTAAATGTTTTGACTTCATTTGGTGGGACAGCAGCAGAGGGCAGACTTTGGACAGATGGTATATTTAGGTCTGGGGATGGATTCAAGTATGTTTAGATGGCCGATTTGCAGTAATTATAAGTATTCTCCTTTTTTGTTTACCTTGATTAATATTAGACTATGCCTCGTGCATAATAGGTACTATATAAACACTGAATGAATGAAAATCTTTATTTAAGGCACTGATTCAATTTGTGCATTCAAAATCTTTCTTTAAAACTTATTTGTGTATGAGGTTGCAGCAAGAGACATTCTAATAATTATCAGTTGATGGGTCCTGCTATATATTAAAATGTTCCTTCTTATCCTCAGAGCCAATTGTGAAATGGTAAATATTCATGCTATATGCAAGGACCCATTAGTTGCTTTAGAGAGAGCTACCTTACTTCAGTATTAAGCAGTAATTACAAATGCTGTGTTCAAGAAAATAAGGACATAGGGCAATTATAATTAAAATAAGTTATAAATGGTGAAATAGAAAATCTAATAATAATAAGGTCCCTATGTTGTTTCAAAGATTATGTTGTTCTCACTCATAAGTGGGAGTTGAACAATGAGAAGACATGGGCATAGGGAGGGGAACATCACACACCGGGGCTGTCGGTGGGTAGGGGGCTAGGGGAGGGATAATTACATTAGAAGAAATACCTAATGTAGGTGACAGGTTGATGGGTGCAGCAAACCACCATGGCATGTGTATACCTATGTAACAAAACTGCACATTCTCCACATGTACCCCAGAACTTACAGTATAATATAAAAAATAAATAAATAAAATAAAATAAAAATTATATACATAACATATAAAAATATATGCAAAGAGAAATCATGTATATCAAAATGTTAATCGTGGTTATTTCCAGAATGTGGAAATGTAGATAGTGTCTATTTTATTTAATTTATATTTGCCGGCTAACCTTTAAAAAATACAGATTACTTTTATTATCAAAAAAGAATAAACATAATTAGAAACAAAAGCAACAAAACAAAGAGTTCCTATCTTAGGTTTTTCAACAATTGTTAGTCAAATCCTGGGCATTAGCCACTAGCTAAATCTCTAGTTTGGGGTACTTAACCAGCAAACAATCAACTCCCTTAAAAAATCTTTGATTCTGAATGGGCATTTATGAGCTATTTAGAATCTAGATAAAATTATACATCTCCAGTTTGTTCTGAAAGAATAGGAAAAAAATGATTGTTTTTTCCCCATCTGCAAGAGATATTCTAAATAGATCTCAAAATATTGTTGAGAAAAATGGGCATATAATATTTTTTACAATGTTGTGAGATAATCAGTTTCTATTATGGCAGAATAAAGAATCATCTCATTCATTCAACAAACATTACTGAACACCTACATGTGCCAGATTTTATGCTAGGGGCTAAGGCAAAGAGACAATTAAAAAATAAAAGACCCAATCTCTCCTCTCAAGACCTAGTCTTTCAAGTGAATTCATTGCTTATGTAGGTCATGATGATGTAACAGGATGCACAAAATGCCCATGACATCTGAGGGGCAGGAGAAGTGTGGCACCCAACTCAACTTGAAAGGGGCAGAGAAGCTACTGGAGGAAGTAACAGCTGGGCTAAATCTGAAAGAACAAATAGAAGTTGGCAGGAGAAATGCGATGGGGAGCAGACTGCAGGCAGAGCAGATGGCACAAGCAAAGGCAAGGAGGCAAGAAGCAGTTACTGGCAGCTGGGTGTTTCTGAAAGAATAGAAAACACCACTGGAAAGGTCAGTGCAGGGATCACAGAGGGCTGAGGATACCATGTCTTTTCTTTGTTATGTTTAATTCATATGAGTTCATTAAAAAAGTCCAGCTCAGCAGTTCCACATAGAGCTTGAGATTTCAGATACATGAAGAAAATGTGTTTTGTTAGAAATTGTGATAATAAAGGTTACTGCAAACAGTAAAAACCACCTGGGTAGCATGAGGCAATCCTTCTTACATTGCATCCCTCGAGAGAGTGTTTATGTGGACCTGGTCCTCTGCTTTGTGTTTGGACCATCAGGATTATTGTATTAGGCTAAGAACAGAAAAGCTTAGGTTCATGAAGTATTTTGCTTCAAATGATGTAAACTATGTCAAAAAAAAAGCTAATTGCAAGTCTTACAGGAGTTGAATATTTAACTATAGAAATCCTGACTCTTCCTTCCTAGATATTTGAAGTTGATTTTTTAAGTTAGACTCTGAATTTCAACATATTTCAACTTGTCTTAATTATTTTAAAATCCACCTAAGTGAAGATCAATGCTTAAGTTAATTATATATGAGCAATTTTCCAGTAATATTAATTAATATCTTAATTTGCAAGCATTTATATTCCTTAATTATTTCTTAATAGGGTCTAGTATAGTGTTACAAGTAACAGTTGAAAGACTGATATGTGCTTATTTGGATGGGTAATCTGATTTTTACATGTGAATAAGATAATCATATTGACTTAAATAGTTTTGCTTGCATCTTTTCTTTCTCTTTAAATTAAAGGCTGATGGCATTTCCTTTGATGTTTGCTTAAGACTTTTAGCATTAGCTTTTTCTGAGGAATCCTGAGAGGAGCTTCACTGTTTTTGTCTTGAAACTGTCTGTTCATCCCTTTTTATCTACATGAGAAGTCTTCTGACACCCTATTGATCTGAATGTCTGAACATGTTCTCTTCTGTTATGCTAACACTCAGTGCTGGACTTTGATTCAGAAGATCTGGGTTCTAATTCTGACTCCATAAATTACTAGCTGTGCTATCAACAACTTGGCAAACTGTATGAGCTTTTTTCTCATTTATAAAATAGTATATAGTTCCTAGGGTGACAATAGAACTATTGGTGGCAGCAGAAAAAATGTACACATTCTTTTATTTTAGTAAATTAAAGCAAGGAATTTTACAAACCTAAAATAAACTATAAACATGACTGGAGTTCAAACTAGCCAAATTTCTTTCTCCCTGTGGAACTCTTTTTTGCCATTGTTTGGATTAAAAACCTTAACAATGTCAATAAGTAGTAATTACACTTAAAAAGGGGTCAGAGAAATATCAAAGTGGTCATCCAAAAGAAATGTTGGGCATAAAATTCTGACATGTCGATATGAAATCTCAATTCTGAATGTTTCAATTTCACTAATTCTCCTCAGCAAAATTTTCACTAAATGTGAATTGGAATGAGCTGTCTTTAGTATTTTTTTAATTCCCTTTCCTGTTTTTAATCAATTAGTCAATTAACCAATTATTCCATCAGTGAGTAATCTTTGAATATCTATTATGCACCCAGAATGGTTGACATCAGTGTCTCTATGTCTTTTGGCTTTCCTTCTGCTTCCTCACATTGGCCCTGTTTTATTCTGACTGACCATAAGCCTTAAGATAACCTGGGAGAGTTACAGCTGAACTGATATTCACAAGAGTTCTGTTGACATATACATATGTACATTAATTTATTAATTATATGTTATATAAACAAAGAGATCTGCATACCTATATCTATGTCTGTATTTATATTTATTACAAAGCACAGTCCTTTATTTTCTGTTCAAATGAGCTCAGCTTTCATCCTGTGTTCAGATGCTATGTTCCTCTAAGTTCGTTATTGTTTTCTCGCTGTAAATCCGAACTCTTTTTCTCAAATATGGATCTGCCCAGTGAAATGGAGAACACATTGACTCTGGAGTTCAAACTCAAGGATTCGGATCCAATCCCCACTCTGCTGCCTAGGAGCTGAGAGACCTTAGATAAGTCAAGTTAACCCCTTCCTCCTTCGTGCTGTCTGTGCCTCTTGCAAGCCTCACTGTTGAGCTTAAGGGTTGCACTGTAACATATTTGTTTACATGCCTGCCCTTCTAGACTCTGAAGTCTTCAAACACAGATACTGTGTCTTATTCAGCACAGCACAGAGTCAAATAGTAGATTCTGGAGCTCCACTGCCTAGACTTAAATCCGACTTCTGTCTTTTATCCTGTCTGACTTTGGGCAAGTTATTTGCCATTTCTGTGCCTCAGTTTCCGCATCTACAAGAAGGAGATAATAATAGTGCCTACCTCACAGTGCTGTTATGAGGATTAAGTAAGTTAATATTTGTAGAGCATTGAGAAGAGCATCTGGCACATAGTGAACATTTGTGAGCATTTGTTATACATGCATATTTAAAGAATTGTCTCTGACTTCAATACCTAATATGATACCGATTTAATAAGTCTTTTTTGAATAAGTAAAGTCATGCAAATATTCCGGAACTCAGTTTTCTCTTTAATACTGGGTCTAATGAAAACTTAGACAAGGTTATTGTGAGGGTTAAATGATGTATTGGATATACAGCATTATAAACATACAAGGTATTTCTATTGTTCTTTTTTATAAAAGTGAAATGACATTAGCAAAATAGATTATAGAATTAAATTAGCTTCAACACTTTTTGCTTTGAAAGTGTATTGTTACTGTGTATTAGACTATTATTTCACTTGTTATACTATTGGTTGGCACTGGGGAAAAGGTGAAAAATGTGAGGATTTGACCCTGACCCCTGGAATCTCAGAAAACAACCTCATAACAAGGCACAGTTTGCAATATGTGTTTGTTTAATATTAACCAACCTGTGAAGCTGAACAGCCCCATGGTACATATTTACCCCTGAACCTGTCATCAGCGCCAGTGTTTAAACATGCAAGTGTACTGGCAGATTTGGGGGGTTGGTTGGCTTTGCTTTGGGTTAATCTTTTTTGTGAGATTGATAAAACATGAAGACCCAAAGATGTACCACGACACACTTTCCAAATGCTAAAGTAAGTGACCTACATTTCACTCACACTGTACCATTTGATGTTGCTGAGCATTTTAGTACTAATTGCCAAAACAGCCACACAGTTTTGGTCTAATCACATTCAGTAGAATCAAATATAAGACGTTTTTAATCATTATGAATCAGTGCATGGATTAGCTGGCAGCAAGAATGGATGACTGGCTCTCTTTGAGGCAGTTTCTTGATCAAACAAGACAACATGCTTGTCTTGGACAAGATACATGGGAATCTCCCATCTTTACATCTCTTAAATTCAAGGCAGTCTTGCAAGCATGCATACATGCTACTTCTCATTAATTTGAGGTTAACCTGGCTAAGATTGCTTAGAATTTGAGCTGAAGACTAAAAGGCTGTGGTGTCAAATACTTTATTAGGTCCAGTTTCACTCATTCTTTGAGATTTAGAAATGAGGAGTTTTATTCATTTCAGTGTGGAGAAATAGATCACGTACCATGGCTTTGTGGCATGAGTTTTCACCTAAAATGCTTAAAAAACAATTTTCTTCCAAAGCTTTGCATTATCTCATGTAATCACAGTTATTCTATGTTATGGTTGCTAAAATTATTTGAGAATAATTGAATAGAAGATGTATATGAGATAGTATACTGTATTAACTAGATTTTTGGGCAAAATGACTTTTCAAGGATTATAAATGGCTAAAGGATATATATATATATATATATATATATATATATATATATATATATACACACACACACACACACACACACAGAGATTGAGAATATGAATCATATTGAGATGGCCTTCCTTTTATCTCTTGAGTAGACTGGTAAATTAAGACCACTTTTTGCTCGTTATTCAACTCTTCCCTTCCTCTCTTCCATCCTTCCCTTTCTTCCTTTTTTATTTTTGCACAGAGCAGTAACTTAGTAAAGAAGGCATGTGTCTAGTTTATTTACTTTTCTTCAATGAGATAATTTACAACCTTAGAATATGGCCTGGGATAGAGTAAGAGCTAAATAAATATTAGTTGCTGTTGTTGTTGGCTGTATATTTTTAAATCAGTGGACTCCATAAAATCGCCTAGGCACACAATATTTTAAGGGAATCTATTCATAAGCAGTAGATTATTTTGAATTCAGAATAACGATCAAATATTAAATAACTAAACTCCAATTCAAAAATTTAATTCTGTATTTCTTGGCTAAAAATCAGATGACAAATTTAATTCGTAGGCCTCCAGGCAAACATTTCAGGAATGGTTCCCAACTTTTGTTATTAATAATATTAACAGGTCCCCAGGAGAGATGGCTTTCTTTAGTAGGTCCCTTAAAATATCCAGCCACTTGGGCATTAGCATTCCTTGTCTTGTGTTAACTTGTTAAGGAGTTAACGTTTCATACATAGAAAGCCCTGAAAAAATATATATTTAAAGAGAAATGCTGACATGGTCTTAATTCCTCCAGCACTGCTGCAACATCTGTTAACTGTAGTCTGACATTTAATAAAATATATGGACTTGCCATAGCAATGTCTGCAACACAAAGAGTATACGTGTTTCTAAGATAAAGAAAACTTTTTCTTTTAAAGAAACATACAAAAATATGTTAGTGATAGGCACCAATGAGATATTCTGCAAAATGGAAATGTGTATAGCAGCAATATTTTAATATGAGACCATAGAATACTTCTAAACCCTTAGAAAATTTCTAAGTTACTTATTATTATTACTTTACAAAAGGAATCTTAAAGGGTAATATTTGGATGCATAATATTGACTCTGGCAAAAAACACAAAACCATACATGTAAGAATTTGGGGTCATGACTGTCACTTTAGAAAAAGCATAATACATAAATATAATGTCTTTGTTTTCTTTTGCCTGACACTTTCTGTATGTCTGAAGTATAATTTGTGAAAAGTGAACCTCAAAAAACTTTAAAAAACAGACAAAAAACATTCTATACCTATTTCTAAAGTATATGCATAAAACGTTGCTTCAACTTCTATAGAAATAAAAATACGGGCAGCTGATTAGGCCTTCTTTCGGCCTCAATCAGCATATTTGGTGGCCTAAACCTTATAGGGAATTTGAAGCCTACCACACTTGACTGTTTCCCCATTTTCCCTATTTAGAAGGTGTGCACTCATTTATTTTTGCTCAGTTAATTCTAGTGGAGAATAAAGGAGTAATAAAAAATGTATTCACATGGCTACTGAACGGTTTTCTAAATTTTTTTGCAAAACAAAATATTTATAATGGTAGAAACTCAGAAATATATGCATATATATTAGTCTTACTGAGAGAATTACAAAGGGGCACCAAATGGGCTTTTAATTTCAATTCTGATGAAAAATTCAGAAAGTAACTATGTAGGAAGTAACAGCTCAGAGGTATTGGGAGATCTTGGCATAGAATAACCTCTTACCCAGTTGAGGGAATCAAATTCCTGAAAAGTCCATGACCGGAAAATTTCAGGTAGAGTAGCTTAATAGCTTAAGGGGAAGATATGGTTTATGCAGTTGGGGCCAGGCTTGTGTATATCTGTAAAACATTTTCACACAAATAAAAGTAAAAAAAAATCACCAATGATATTTTTACATAGTTTTAAGTGGCAATAATAAATACAATTAAATTTTGAGTTCCCACCTTTTGCTCACTAAAAAAGTTTCTAGAGTGGTTCTGTACAAGAGTTCCAACAACAGCAAACTCATACGACTTTGTTGTAGATAAACACATACCAGAGGAAATGTTTGGCCTTTTTCTATCAAGACATCCAATGCCTTTTTGATTTTATGGATTAGAGGAATTGTCTCCTGCTTGCTAACTCCCAGTGTTGGTTCAGGAACAGGACTCACTAGATGCTTGACAGGGAGAAACTTCTGATAACTTTAATTGACCTACTAGGTCTAGATGAGTAGATATTTCTCAAGCTTGTTCCTCTGCCTCTCAAAGCAGAGGTTTTTAACCTGGTGCACGAAAACGATATCACAAGGTACAAATTGCCAACCCTTCTTGCACTTATTGTTGCTCCCTCCCCTGAAACCAAAACCCAGTTCTAAGGCCTTACCTGAAGCCCCAGGAGCCTCTTATGTCTTCTAAGCCTTTGGACAAAAGGATCTCCTCTCACTGTGCTTCCATTTATATTCCCTTTCTATCAGTGAGCCCCTGGGTCTTACTCTTTTTCTCTTAATTATTCTTAATCAGACTGACTGGGATTTGCATATATGATGTTAAATTCATGCAACTTCCTAAAAGATACATTGAAGCAAATTCATACTATGATTTTTGCATAGCTGACTGCAGTTAAAATTAATTCCTATTAGTAAAATTACTTAGATATACTAATAAAGTAATAGAAAATTATTATTAATAAAGGTTATATGTTCTTTAAAAATATTTTCTAGTATAGGTGAATTGAGTAAACATAAAGTGTTAAATTTGCTTATTTTTTCAAGAGTTGAATAGAATAAAGAGAAATAATACAAAAGTGAGAAGATGACAGGTTTTTGTAAAAGTTTGCTTTTGACTTTCATCTTGGGAAAATAAGACCTGCATGTTCATCTGTCATTGTAGTAGGGAGAACATGTAAGTGTGACCTTCATAATCCATGCTAGCATTTGTTTGTTATGAGATAATCCAATGGTTTGTGTCTTGCTGTCACTCATCTTCTGGGAGTATTCTGTAAACTATTGGTAGGTTACAGGGGCATGTCAGTGAGTTCTGCCACACTAGAGTCTTAAGAGAAGCAGCTTAGACAAAACCTATGAACCACCTTTATATGAGTCATATTTTCATTCATCCCAAACCAGTTCCCTATTTTATTTAAATATTATTTATATGCTGATTATTTTAGCTAAATCAGATTTGCAGAATGAGAAAAGCAAGTAAATTGTTCCTTAAACATGATTTTTCATGATCCTTGGCAAAAGTGTTATAATCTAGACCCCAAAGTGAAAGGTCTGATTACTTAGTTTTGGTAATATAGTACAACTCATTTTTACTTCTTTATTATGAAAAAATTTAAATTTAAACATAAGTAGATGGAATAATATAAGGAACCCTCAGCTGGCATTATCCAATATCAACTGTGGCCAATCATTACATCTAAACCACTGTGCCCCCTCTCCCATTATTTTAAGGTAAATCCCAGATACATAATTGCATAATAAATATTTCTATGTATATCAGTAATAGAAAAATACTTTTAAAATGTAGCCATGTGGGACAATTTTAAAAATCAAAACAACACTTAGTGTTTACTGGTTATATCTTGCAATCTTACAGAAAGTTGAGCAAGTGCCTCTGGGTGAGTAGACCAGTACATTTTGAAACCTGATTGAAAGGACACTTCAGACAGGCTGAGTTCTTTCAGGAAGAAATGTTAGGTAAATCATGGGTATTAAAGTGGAATTGATCAAAATTAGGCAACATATAGCCTGGAGGATCCTCAGGGCAACAGAAGAAGAAATGACAATTTGCAATTTAAAAAAAAGGGAATCAATTTTATGAGGGTTAGATTGAAGAAGGCAGAATTTTGGAGTTTGAGAATGACATTTTAAAAGTCATGTAAATCAACACAATTCAGAATATGGGTAATTCTGTAAGACAACTAGATTTCATCATCAAATAAAACGTAAGATGTGGAAAAAAGACATGAGAAGTTATTAACTCTGAGGACTGAAAGAGACTTAAAAGACTTATCAACCAATGAGAGTGAGAACCCTGTTTGGATTCTGATTCAAACTAACTAAGGGGAGGGAGGGGGAGAGAGAGAGAGAGAATATGAGAAATAAATGAACACTGCATGAATAATTGATAATATTAAGAAAATGTTGGTTTGATGAATATGCTAATTACCCAGATTTGATCATTACACATTATATATATGTATCAATATATCATTCTGTACCAATTATTAAATACCAATTAAAAATTAAAATAAGAAAATAAATGTTGGTTATATTTAAGATGTGATGATATTTTAGTTATTCTTAAAGAGTTCTTTTCTTTTTGAGATACATAGTGATCATTCATGGATCAGATTATATGATGACTTAGATCGTCTTGGAAATAATTTAGTAATGATTGTGGTGGGGTAGCAGAGGAGAAAAGATGTGAGTATAGATAAACTACAACAGACAAGTATTGATTATTGTTGAAACCAAGTGAAGCTGGAGATTCATTACACTATTCTCTGTACTTGGGAATGTTGAAAAATTTCCCAATTGAAAAGATTTGTTTAAATTTCCTAGTTTGGAACTACTACACATAGTTTTCTTGATAGTTCCCTCGAAAGTTTGAAAGAAGATACTACAAATTCTTTCAGTCAACCAGAAGTATTAATTAACTAGCACTCTTGAGTTGTGCCATTATAGATGAAATTTATAATGATGACTCCGAGGCACTCTGAAACATTGAAAAGTTAAATTATGTGCAACAAAATTTTGATTTTAAAGTGGGCCTCACTGTGTTGTTTTAACAGCTTTATTGAGGTATGACTGATATAAAACAAATTATACATACTTAATGTATACAACGATGAGATTGGACATGTCTATACACTTGTGAAACTGTCACCATGGTCAATGTAATAGATATATCCATCACCTTCAAAAGTTTCTTTGTGTCCTTTTGTTTAGTTTTGTTTGAGATAAGAACACTTAACATGAAATCTACCCTATTAACAACACTTTCGTGCCTAACGATAGGCATTATGCTATACAGCAGATCTCTAGAACTAACTCATCTTGCATAATTAAAACTTTATGCCAATTTAAGAGCAACTCTCCATTCCCCACTTCTTCCAGCCCCTGGTAACCACCATTCTATTCTCTGCTTCTGAGTTTGACTACTCTAGCTACTTCATATAATTGGAGTCATGCAGGATTTGTCCTTCTGTGACTGGCTTATTTCACTTAGCATATTGTTCTCCAGGTTCATCCATGTTGTCACAAATAGCAGGATTTCTTTCTTTATCAAGGCTGGGTAATATTTCATTTTATGTATATACCACGTTTTCTTTATCTATTCATCTGTCCATGGACATTTGGGTTGTTTCCATAACTTGGCTATTGTGAATAGCGCAGCAATGAACATAGGAGTGCAGGTATCGCTCTGAGATTTTGATTTCAATTCTTTTGGATATATACCCAGAAAGTGGGATTGTAGGATCATATAGTAGTTCTATTTTTCATTTTTTAGGAACCTCCATACTGTTTTCCATATTGCCTGTACTAATTTATATCCGCACCAACAGTGTACAAGTGTTCCCTTTTCTCCATATGTTTGCTAACATTTGTTATCTTTTGTGTTTTTGATAATAGCCGTCCTAATGTGTGTGTGGTGATATTTCATTGTGATTTTAATTTGCATGTCCTGATGATTACTGATGTTGAGCATCTTTTCATATACCTGTTGGCCATTCGTATGTCTTTTTGAATAAATGTCTATTCAAGTCCTTCGATCCTTTTTTAAATCATGTTATTTGTTATGTAGGTGTTCCTTATATATTTTGGATATTAATTTCATCAGATACATGGTTTGCAAATACTTTCTCCCATTCCGCAGGTTGCCTTTTCATTCTATTGATTATTTCCTTCGCTGTGCAGAAGCCTTTTAGTTTGATGTAGTACTGCGTGTCTATTTTTGCTTTTTTGCCTGTGCTTTTGGTGTCATATCCAATAAATCACTGCTAAGACCAATGTTAAAAAGTTTTTCCCTATGTTTTATCCTAGGAGTTTTACAGTTTCAAGTCTTACATTCAAGTTTTTAATCCATTTTTAGTTTTTTGTTGTTTATGATGTAAGATAAAGGTCCAATTTCATTCTTTTGCATGTGGATATACAGTTTTCCCAACACCATTTGTTGAAGAGGCTATGTTTTCCCTATTGTGTGTTCTTGGGACCCTTGTTGAAGATCAGTTGGCCATATATGTGTGGGCTTACTTCTGGGCTCTCTATGCCATTCTATTGATCTATCACTCTCTTTATGCCAATACCATACAGCTTTTGTTGTCTTGTTTGTTTTTTGGTACCATATTTTTTCAGTTACTATAGCTTTGTAATATATTTTGAAATCAGGAAGTATGATGGCTCCAGCTTTGTTCTTTAATAAAATCACTTTGGCTATTTTGAGTCTTTCATGGTTCCATATAAATTTTATGATTATTTTTCCTATTTCTGTAAAAAATGCCATTGGGATTTTGATGAGGACAGCATCGAATTTGTAGCTCACTGTGGATAGTATGGGCATTTTAACGATGTTAAGTCTTCCATTCCATTAACCCAAGATGTGTTCCCATTTATTTTCTGCTTTAATTTCTTTCATTTACCTTTTATAGTTTTCAGTACATAGGACTTTTACCTCTTTAATTACGTTCATTCCTTAGGAATGTTACTATAAACGTGATTGTTTTGTTAATTTCCTGACAGAATAGTTCATTGTCAACATATAGAAATCTAACTGATTTTGTATGTTGATTTTGTATCCTGCAACTTTACTGAATTTGCTTACTAGATTCAAGAGTTTATTGTGGGGTCTTTAGGATTCTTCTACATGTAAGATCATGAAATGTATGCATATGAAATGTGCATGTATGCACCACACCCCTTAATTCGCTTTTTTGACATCTTTGGGAGGGTGTTATTTTGACACACACGTACACATAGGGTTCCAATCACTTAACAAAGGGTAATTATTTAAGATACAGTCACAGGAATAGAATAAAGCTAGAATCTCTTACCAAAAATAAAATCTGTGCCAAACATACATATTTTTATGAGACCTAAGATGGGAAGACTCCTTCTATTTGTTTCTGTCTCAGTGGGTGGGTAACTGGAGATTCTGTCTTCCTAGTTGATAGGCATAAAGGGACCCTACCCCTTCTTATGACAGCAATTAGGGTTGAGAGACAACTTACTCAAAGACCAAAGCTAATAAGGTCCTGGCATGATAGCTGAGCCAAAACTCACAACCCACTGTCTAACTTCTGAGCCCAGCTCCTAAGACAGTCCATCACCACTGGGCACCTACTTTATGTTGAACATGATTCAAAAGATAGGATCCCTGTCTCCAAGACACGTGGAAATGAACTGGAGAGCTGAGGCAAATAGAGTAGGTTTTGTATAGGAAGAATGGTGTGACTTCAGAGACAGAAGAGTGGATTCCAGGCAGGGGACATGGGATCAGAAGTTTGACCTTGGAAACAACAAACAAGAGTCTACTTCAGCTAAAATAGAATGTTTGTATAGAGTTTGGCTGAGGTTGATCTTGACTACCAGATTAAGAAGTTTAAACTTTAAGGAATTTTGGTATAAAGAATAATGGAAAGCATTATATTTGGTTTAATTCTTCAATGTGGGTACCATGATAATATTATGAAATAGTTTTAAAGTAATTATGCAACATACACAGTTTAACATATAGTTTAAAAGTAATTATACAATGCACATAAGGCATTTCTATTTTACTTTTCTTTCAAAAACTGCATTACTTCCCTTCAAAGAAAAAGCTTTAAAAAATCAGAAAACAACCCTCCCATCACCCTGTAAAAAACAATGCCTGCAATGTTGAGCATCATAGTCAATATATTTACATTTCTTATCACACCTTCCTAATGACTGTCATCATTAGTCAAATAAGTAAACAGTATAAGAGCGGTATGCAAAATTCAGTGGGTCTTTTGTTTGGTCTCGTGACTTACAGAGAAGTGTTCATTCCCTCAAGTTTATAGGATTAAATTATCTGCCCTGCCCACACACACAGGAGATATGACCCAGAAGAACAGCCTGCAAAGCAATGTGAGATATCTAATGTTTACTTAAAATAAAATACATTATAAAGACAGCACAAATGATTCTATTCCATTTCAAAAGACTCAGAAAAGCAGATCTACCTATAAAAAGAGTTATAAATTATTTTAGCTGTGATGTTTCTTCATGTTGAGACTTTGGAACCACCATTGCCAGCTACACTCCATCCTTTCCCAAGATTTAGGACAAGGAATATTTTTCTGGTAACAGAAATCATTAAAACAGAGACTCAGGGCAATGCATTCAGTTAAACTCAAGTCTAGTCAGGGCTCCAGACTGACTGTTTCGTTCTGTGAATTGACAATATGTCTCTGAAATTCCAGAATGTGAAATTCCGAAACCTCAACGGGATATTTACAAATGCTTTCAGATAGTAGTGGATATTTTGTTCTCTTCTCTCTTTGGAGGTGGGAGGAATTCTTCAATGGGTACGGGCTGAAGGGAGGGATTTAGCCTAAGCCTTCCAGGTACTATTCAGAAGTGATGCATTTCCCTTGGCTAGTTACAGCCTCCAGTTTCAAGGTTTCTCATGCTTGTGAGCATGCAGATAAAGAATAACATTTCATTTTAAAACCTGATTTGAAGGGACCTCTGGGAGACCTCCTCCCAGCAGCAGATGAGGTGGAGGTGAAAGTAGTGTAACACTGACAGTCTCTGAACCTGAACATCTGCCCTTGATAGTTGCCCTTGGGCTAAAGATGCTGTTTTGGGCTCTGGGTGACCCCTGTCAAACCCAATAGCTACTCACTGTCATTTCCAGCCATGCCACTGTCCCTCAGTTGGCAGTATGTGTCTGAGCATAGATAGGCAGGGAACTTCCGATTGCAGAGGCATTGTTTTGATTCATTTCAAGAACTCTGAAATGTCTTAACTAAGGTAAAGTAACAGATTACTGTACCAATGTAAAAATTTTAAAAGGTACTAGATTTTATACCTTATTGTCTAAGTACATACTTTTTTTCTGTCCTGTTCCTTTTCTCCTTTCCAATCCTCCAGTGTTTTAAATGAAGATGGAGTGTATACATCCTTTTGCCCTAACACAAACAAATGTCATTTTGAAAATAAAAATATTCACATTTCGTCCTCACACTTTTCACCTCTTCAAGTGCCCTCAAGTACCTCCTTAATCCCACTGAAGTTCCAAGTTTCACTGATTTAAAAAGCAAAGGAAAATGTGCAGCACTAGATAGAGTCAAACAACTGGAATGCTACTTAGCATGAAAAACGACCAAACTATCCATCTACTCAATAACTTGCATGGATCTCAAGAGCATCAAGTTGAGTGTAAAAAGAAAAAAACTCAGTCTCAAAAAGATCACATGCAGTATGATTCCATTTATATAATAGTTTCAGAACGATGAAAATATAGAGATGGAAAACAAGTGGTTGCCGGGGTAGCGAGGAGCAGGTGGAGATAATGATAAAGAGGTGGAACAAGGGAGATCTTATGCAAGATACAGGTGGAAGTTCTGCATCTTGACAGGCCTATAGTGGGTCAGATTGCACAAATCTACACATGTGGCAAAATGGCATAGAAACTATACACACATTATTCCAATGTCAGCTTCCTGGGTTTAATATTATACTAAAGTGTGTCAGATGTAACCACTGGAGGAAACCAGGTGAAAGGTTTAGGTGGCCTCTCTGTGCAACTGGATGCAAATATATAATTACTTTAATATACAAAGTTTAAATGTCAGCTTCCTGGGTTTAATATTGTACTAAAGTGTGTCAGGTGTAACCACTGGAGGAAACCAGGTGAAAGGTTTAGGTGGCCTCTCTGTGCAACTGGATGCGAACCTATAATTACTTTAATATACGAAGTTTAAATGTCAGCTTCCTGGGTTTAATATTGTACTAAAGTGTGTCAGATGTAACCCCTGGAGGAAACCAGGTGAAAGGTTTAGGTGGCCTCTCTGTGCAACTGGATGCAAATTTATAATTACTTTAATATACAAAGTTTATATATATATATATATTCCTTACAGATGCCTCTGTACAGAAAGAATAATGAAATATAGCATAGTGGCACATGCCAAAAATGTGTCAGATACCTTCTTTAAAGCATACTGTTACTAAAGAATTACTAAAGTATTGCTTCAAAAGATAAGAAGGAATAAAACAGTAATGACTGCATTCTCAGGACTGCAATAAAATAGCTCTGTTTTCCAGTGTTCTCAACCTTTGGATTGCTTTTCAGGCATTCACAAAGCAAAGTGGGAAACACGAACCCTTTTAGTTAGATCCCTTTAACAATAGAGGTCAGTTTGGTCATACGGTTTTAAAGAATACTCTGCATCCTTGAAACACATTCCTCCCATTTGGAAAAATTCCAGAAACAAGACTATAGCCTGAATAGCACTATCTAGCATGCACGAAACGCTTCTTAAAAGCAAGGACTGCCACAGCCTCTCTTCTTAATGAATCCCTCCCACCCACCTCGTTTTTCAGTGCTTTGCAGTATGTCTTTTTCTCTTTCCCCTTCCACGTTCGTCTCACCCACTCTCCTGGACCCTCTAACCAAGTTGCCACGCAAAAGCAGCAAGCAAACCTGTGTGAGTGGGGTGTCCCGAGGCGGCAGCCTCCCGCGATCCTCCGTGCACGCCACCACCCGGCTCATGCTCCAGGCGCTGCGCACACCCCAGTGGCCGCCCAGGACGTGCGGTCACTGGAGAGCCCCCAGCCACGCCCCTAGATGCTGCTGGGCGGCCTGCAGGAGTACCAACATTGCAGACAGAACAGCGACCTATCCCGCCGTAAGCCAAAGTTGCCTGTTGGTAAATTGCGTCTTTTTTCTTTTTCTTCAACATCTTTATAGTACCGCGAGTGTACCCAGTGTTATTAAATTATGCCAAAACAAAGAGCAAAGTCCCTGCCCTTAGGAGTATGCAGTGTAAAATGAATAAATGACGCAAGGCAAAATGACAGGACAAACACAGGGTGGGTAGAAAGAGTTACGAGTGAAAGGGAAGGTAGAAACAATAAGACTTTCACTGGACCAAAACATGGAAAGGCTGTTAGGGCCCCAAATCTTCATAGCAGATTATAGAAATGAAGAATTGCGATAATATCTATAGTAGCAATCCTATTTTATTGAGTGTTTACGTGCCATGCAGTATCATCATCACAATAATTCTATACCATAGCTGTTGTTTTAAAAAGTGCCAGATATGATTCTAAATGTTTTACAAATATTCACTAATTTGATCCTCCTAAAATCCCTGTGAGGTTGGAACTATTATTTTCCCCATTTCAGAGATGAGTGAAGCAATAAAGTGGACTGACTTGCTCAAGGTAACTCAGGCAAAAAGTGGGAGAGCCAAAATTGGAACCCAGGAAGTTGGATGGTAGAGTCAAGATCTGAGCCCAGGAAGCCCAACTTTATGATGGCATTAGGATTCATATCCACATTACCTTGCCTACCAAGCTTATACTCTTAATCATGTGCAATCATGCAAATTAAGTAAACAATTTAAAAGTATTTGTATTGACTATAAACAATGCACAAAATCATTTTGCAAAGGCCTTTAGTAGGTCCATGAAAAAAATGTTTATTTGAAGAATATTTTCTGTCAAAAAACAGAAAGAAACATGTTTTCTTTCTTCCTTCATTCATTCAACAAACATGTACCAGTGTCTGTTTATACCAGGCACTGTGTTAGGCATCAGGGTGACAGTAGTGAACAAAAGAGACAAAATTGAGGGGAAACAAGGGAACTGAGATAATAGTCATTTTAATCATGAATACACATTAGATTTATTGGGAACAATAGGCAGAAATAGCCAACAAGAAATAATCATATACAGGGAATGACATTCTCTGGGCTGGACTGTCTGGCATGAGTATTATTTAGTTCTTTTTTCCATCTCCTCTCCTTTTTCCTTTGTTTTAGTTATGATAGAGGAAATCACGCTATCGAAAAACATTTCGTATGGACATTTGCTAACATTTCAAATAATGCTTTGGGTGGTAGAAGTAATTGAATTCCCTTCCTAATAACATTATGACCAAGAGTATTTTACAAGCATGGATATGGTAAAGAGGTATGCAGACCTCTGAGCTTGGAATAAAAACCTGGAATAATAGATCCTTACAAAACAAAAGTTGTCAAAGTCTGTTATGAAAACCCAGGATCTTGACTGGCATAAACATCTACTAAAAAGATAAAAGGATAGCATTTGTTACTGTCATTCAATTCCCTACATCACCTTTTAAAAATACATTTGTACTTCCTGACTCTGCTATAATATACTAAAATGAAAAATATAGCCATTAAAAACTAAAATCAGAAGAGAAATCCCCTCCACCTCTCCCCTCATAAAAGCATAGAAGAACATTTGTTTGGATTTTGTTGTATGTTTGTGTAAATTTTATCTATGCTAAAATAGAATATGCCCTTGAGAACCAGAAAAATAATTTGGTTTTCCCTCAAATGGAAAGATAAGACTTTGTTGTCTTATCTTTCCATTTGAGCACTGGTTTTAAATCCTAACATTAAAAGCAATCAAAAAAGCTGTATGCTTTCTATTATGGGGCCATAATAAAATAATAAAATGTATTGCTAATTCCTATGTTCAGTTACTTTGTTCTGTTAGCACAGGTAACTTTCAAAATTCAGGGGAGGGGCAGAGCTAAGGGACACTTGCAGAGAGAATGTGCAAGGATCTCCCTGACCACACCTCCCTCCCCAGCCTCCTCCCAAGCATTCTCTACTGACTAAGAGTACTGAACTCTTAAATTCCTGAACTGACTCCCTCCTTATCCTTTCTCAGTCTGGTCTCTCCACTGAGAGTCCTTTCCTCACATCCTCCAATTCTTTGCCTGGCTAACTTTTATTTCTACTTCAAAACCTTGCTCAGGTACCACCTGGTCTTGAAATGTTCTCTGACCCCTTTCCTAAGCCAGGTTCTCTGGTAGAGTATTCAAATCTGATTTTTCCTTTTTTTTATTTTTATTTTTGTTTGTTTTGTTGGTTGGTTGTTTGTTTGAGATGGAGTCTCGCTCCGTCGCCCAGGCTGGAGTGCAGTGGCATGATCTTGGCTCACTGCAACCTCTGCCTCCTGGGTTCAAGCAATTCTCCTGCCTTAGCCTCTCGAGTATCTGGGACTACAGGCGCACGTCACCACATCCAGCTAATTTTTGTAATTTTTAGTAGAGATGGTGTTTCACCATATTGGTCAGGCTGGTCTGGAACTCCTGACCTCAGGTGATCCACTCTCCTCAGCCTCCCAAAGAGCTGGGATTACAGGCATGAGCCACGGTGCCCAGCCTTTTCCCTGGTTTTTAATCATGCTGTATTGCAAATGTTTCCTTATCTATTCTTTCCTCCAGTAGACTCATTCATTGTTCCACAAATATTTCTTGAGCACCTGGTATTTGCCCAGCACTGTGCTAGGTGCTAGGAAGATAGGAATAAAAGAAACTCCCTAATATAGTTCTTTGAAGATAGTAACACTTGATAATTATTTATGGAATGAATGAGTGAAATTAGGTCATTATATACACAGTGGAAGAAAGAACTAAGAGACATGAAAGTGATTCTGTTTTTCCATTTCTCCTATCTCTCACACCATACTGTGTTATGTAACACATTTCTAACACCCTTGTTTCCTTAAGTTTTTGTTCTCCTCCCTCTGGTTGTCTTTATTTTACTGCTGTCTTTATTGCAACAAGCAGGAGCTTTTGCATAGGATGAATTTTATTCTAATATCAGCATTGTTACTTACTAGCTTTGTGACTCTTGGCTCTTTCCTTAACCTCTTCAATTTCCTGTCTGTAAAACAGAGATAACAAATACCTATAGAATAGAGTATCATGTGAAGATTAAATGAGATTCACATTAAAGGGCTTAGTATAAAGACTGGCTCTTAAAGCACCTTTCCTTTCACTTGTCCCTCCCCTACTTCTACCTCTTATCCTTCCTGCAGAACATCATCAGGGCAGTAGTGGCTTGCAAGATGATTTCAATTGATAGGTGGAAGCACATTTTTTAAAACTGTGTAATCATTTTGATATATTATTGTTTTGATGTATATAAAATATATAACAGCCTTTGATTTTTATAGAAATATTTGCTTTGGATATGTAAAAAGTAAAAAAAAAAAAAAGGAGGGTTAAGGTTCTAAAAATAGGATAAGGCAAAAAGAAAAAAACAACGTCCACAAGCTGTTATGTGTACATCACGAAGTCCACAAGCTGTTAAGTGTACTGTGATTGTCCTCACCACGTTTGTGCTGATAAACTGACATGGAACACAGGTACACTATTCCTTTCTCAAATGTCACTTATATAGAAAAAAGTCCAGTCCTAAGACTGCAAAGATTCAGAGAGTCCAGCTGCGTGATCATGTCTTTAGCTTGCTTGGAATAGGATTAGTCTGTAATAGAATAAGAAGTCAGCCCCAGGTCCTTAGAAGTCACCTGTCCAGCTCTGCCCTTGATAAAGAACAAAGAATTGTTCATTTACGTTTATGAACAATTAATGCCCAAGTAGAACTTCCAAAATATTTTGTGTTCTTCACACTGTGTATCTCCATTTTCTGATCTATAAAATGGGTATAATAATAGAATCTATCTCATAAGTTTGTTATGAAGGTCAAATGTTAACATAAAGGAAGTACTTAGAAACATATAATGTAAAAGTTCCTACATATGTGTGAGCCGGAATTACCATTAATCTAGTTCAGACCAGCCTCCAGCTTGCCTCCTGTCCCAGCAGCCTCCAAAAAAAGTTATTTATCTCTTTACACCACCAATCTTCCAGCCTTTTGTTGCTTTGTGATAAAATCAGCCTGATAAAAAGTTTCCTTTCTCTGGACACTGGTATTCAGAAATATGGAAAGATCAGATATTCTTTTCAATGTCTCTATTTTTACAGACTTCTACCCAAAACTTAGATTTTCTATAGATTTATTTGTTAGAATTTAAGAAATTCTCTCTCTCTCTCTCACACACACACACACACACACACACACACACACTCTTCTTGTGTTGCACAGGAAAGAGTTCACCAATTTCAGCGACTTTTTAGGAGACTTGCTTGTAGTGGGAACAACAACAAAATACAACATAGGCTGATTTCTCCCACCCCCTGCTAGGCCCTGGAAATTGAGATCTATGTGTAGGATGCTCTCTTTACAACATAACACATTTTAGCCCTAATGATTATGTCACAGCTACCCAGAAGCAAAAAAGGATGGCTGTAGGATAGCTAGAAATCGGGAACAGGCCATCCACTGTTGAAGCTCTGGCCTCTTTCCGCTTCCTTTAAGGTGAGAAACTGCCTGCCCACCCGCCCCCGTCCGCACAACTAAGTGGATAACCAAGCAGTGGGTCCTTTAGCCTTGGAGGATGGGGCTCTGGGCTAGGGAGAGTCTGCGGGAAGTGCCTGCCAGGATGGGCTTATTGCTCTAGAGCCACTCCTACTACCTTCACACTGTGCATTTAAGACCTCGGCATTTAATATCTCCCTGAGACAGGTAGAGATGCAGCTTTTACTCTGAGAAATAGACAAGCGCCAACCTGTCCCGGCCCTAGCCGGGAGATTCACAAGTGCTCAAGTTCACAAGTTTCACAAGTGCCCGCATCACTGCCTCCTGCACTCCTCTGCAAATGCCCTGGCACACCCGCGACCACGTATCCCTGAGTTTCCTAACTTAGTTCACCCCTTTTCCTCCAAGTCAGCAGCCCGGTGAGCATTCCAGGGTCAGTCCTGGTGCTCAAAGTAAGGGCAATCTTCCATCTCTGCCTGCTGGATCACAAAGAGGAGCTGGGAGATTCGCCGTTTTCCCCCACAACCGGCACCTGCCCTGGCCCAGAGCGCAGCGTCCACCTGTACCACCGCTAGATGAAGAGTACCTCACCGCGCGCTGCCTGGGCGCACAGCTGGTGTGCCGCGCTCGCCACCTCTCCTGGACTCAAGGGTGCTCCCGGCTTACGCTTCTCGGGGCTTCCCGGGTCCGGGTTCCCTCTCCCCCGTCTCACTTTCTTCCTTCATTCGCTCTTCTCTCAATTTTTCCTCCATCAGCTCTAACCTGTAATCAATTCCCGCCTTCTGCCCCTCCTCCCTAGGCTTCTCTTAGCTCGGTTGCCGCGACCCCACTATCCGTCCCCGTTCGCATTTCTGCACCGCCCTGCCCTTCACTCCAGCGCGCAGCAGGCCGGGCAATCCGACCGCGCGGTAAGCCGCCCTCGGAACCGCTGGCGCAGTTTTCAGACTCGCCCACCGCCCAGAGACCAGGGGCCCACATCCAGCTCTGCTCTCGCCTTCTCCCTTGAAAGAGACTCCTTGGGGGCTCCCCAGGTCAGAGTACCCCGCCCGGGGAATCATGCTGGTCTCTGGGGCGACCCAGCTATCAGAGACGACAGTTCTATTTTAAGCCTTCCACCCAGTGTCCCCGACCTGAGGACGCGGGCGCGGGTCCAGGGACTCGGGTAACACCTTGCCAGCAGGATCCCGGGCGGTCGCGGAGCCAGCTCCCGCGGGGGAAGTCGGGCCTCTCAGCCAGGCAGGCGGCGCGGCCACGGAACGCAGTCCCAATACAACCAACTCGAAATCCAACAGCCCAGGGAATCCCAGTGCGGGAGGCGGAGGTGCCCCATACCCCAGCCCTCCTGGAATAGGCTACCTTGGCACAACCGCTTCTCCTTGAAAAGAAGTCACACATGAGCCCGCCCAATCAGTCTCTTCCCTCCATGTGCCCTAGTTTACGTTATTTCTAGTCAACCGAATCATTAGCCTGCAATAACCCACCCAAAGCGTGAATGTTTGGAAAATAATAAGAATTAGGAACTATGAGCATGTCATGAAGAGCCCCAGACATAAGCCCCAGATGATTGAGAGACCGGGCTACACACGTGTGGATGTCCCCCGTGCATACACACAAGCACCCATCCGATAGGCTGGGATCCAGCTGCAAGTTTGGACACTGACAAGTCTCAAGTCTAACAGGAAATACAAAAAAAAATTCACTCACCCGCCTCTTTTACTACCCTTTCCAGACTGGGATTCAGGGAAAGTATCAGAAAGGGATGG
Organism: Homo sapiens; assembly: GCF_000001405.40. Taxonomy (NCBI): domain Eukaryota; kingdom Metazoa; phylum Chordata; class Mammalia; order Primates; family Hominidae; genus Homo; species Homo sapiens. The sequence goes on from NC_000012.12 coordinate 46,832,386, forward strand.
ATGGAGAGACCCTTCTTTCTTTTCTTTTCGCCTTTCTAAAGAGTGGAAATTTCCATCATGTGATAGGGGCAACATCCCCAGTGTCGCGTTTCCTGCGGACCCTCCCTTCCAGGCCAGCCACCAATCGTCAGGCGGCAACCTGAGAAGTAGACCAAAGCATCCTCCCAGGTGGGGCTGAGATGTCCAGCTGTCCTTCAGGAGTGAAGCCTGGAAGCCCGGTCCCTGCTCCCTCTTTCCTGGGTCCGGGATAACCGAGAAGATCCTGGTGTGGGTTTATTTTTCGACGGTTAGATTTCTTCCATGAGTCAAGGTTGCATTTATTGGATCTGTCCTATAAGCTGAAGTACATGTGGATCTTTATTTTAAAGTCTGTAAAAGAGTGTTCAGGGTAGATGACTCACTAAATTTCCTCCTGGTATGGAGGTGACAAACGTGAACTTTACATAAAGAAAAAGAAACATTTGAGGAAGGAGTACAAATGAAAAACCTGTCATTCACAGTAAACGTCACTTTATGCATGAAAGAAATGGGATAACTTGCTAGTACTTAAGAGTGGGTCTTTGGTGATAATTTTTTTTTCTAGAATTCCAGTTTAAGCACAATCCTCAGTACATATGAAGAAGGAATTAGGCTATAATAATAAATAGCATTCGAACGTTAATTCTATTTGTTAAAGTTACAACCTACCATTGTAAGGAAAATTATTTACGTTGAAACTATTCTCTAGTATTAAACAAAATTCTTGTTTCGAAGAAGGCCTGTGTAACAAATATGTTCACAATCCCCCATTTATTTAGTAGTGAGTTGTCATTCTTTAGGGAAAGAAAACTATCCTATGGAGACGTTGAACCCACAGTGTAACTAACTCTCCAGGCAACACAATTTACCTTTTGTATTCTCACACATCCAGTTTAACTTTATTCAGAATGGCAAGTTTCACTGCCTGTCCATACTGTCCACCTAGAACCTTCTCGTTTTATAGCTCCCAATAACTAAAACCAGCAACAGCTTAGTGCTTTAAAAAAATAAGATAACAGCAGAAACTCACCTGGATAATGCATAATAATCAGAAACACTAAGAACACAGGATTAATGCACACACACATACACATCAAACTGTACTAGGACAATCTGACAATACAGATTCAATAGAAGGATGATGTAACACACTTTCACTGGAGCTACAATTTTAGAAACTAAAAAAAATTATATAAAAATGTTTGTTTTGTAAAAACTGATTTTCTTCTGAGCCCCCAAGCAAATACGGTAAACCTCTCTATCATAGCAAGAAGTTTACATTTTGTGGAATTAGACTGTATCAGAATAGTTTTGAATTCCCTATAAGCTTGTTGAAACTAGATTCTCTACACATTATCACACTTCTCCATTGATTCTTACTTTATAAATATAAACATCTTTTATAAAGCTACTAAAATGTCAAAATTGGTAGGATTTGGAGAGAATTAGTGAGATCAAGGTAGATACACATTTCTCTTTTCCTAACCTGCGATTTAGTAAAAGCAAAACTCAGGTTTATAAAACAAAAAGCCATTCCAGAGAAGGAAGACTCAAATGAAGGTAAGATCATTTGAGTCTTCTCAAGATAAGTAATTCCACGACACAAACTGGTTTACTGTGCAACTGCTCAACGTTTTTTGTTTTTTTGTTTTTTTGTTTTTTTTTTTTTGAGACGGAGTCTCACTCGTCGCCCAGGCTGGAGTGCAGTAGCCCAATCTCGGCTCACTGCAAGCTCCGCCTCCTGGGTTCACGTCATTCTCCTGCCTCAGCCTCCCGAGTAGCTGGGACTACAGGCGCCCGCCGCCACGCCCGGCTAATTTTTTGTATTTTTAGTAGAGACGGGGTTTCACCGTGTTAGCCAGGATGGTCTCGTGATCCGCCTGCCTTGGCCTCCCAAAGCGCTGGGATTACAGGCGTGAGCCACCACGCCTGACCGCAACTGCTCAACTTTTAAAGGGACTGCTTATTTAATCAGTTCTTGACATCATATCTTAGCTAGTACAGAAGAGATCAAAAGCAGTGGTTCATGGTCTAATGTAATAGAGAACTATGAGTTATGCATTTATATGTGCTAGTAATATTAATCAGGTTGTGGGTTGAGGTTAAATGAGTCTTGTATTCATCTATAAAACAATAAAATTATGGCTATTATACATCAGTAGAGTCTGAGAAGATCTAACGCAATGCCTAGGTAGGATAAGACAACTGACAACTCTTTATTTTCTGTGTTACAATAAAAAGTTTGAACCATTAATGGCCACATTGAATCTGCTCACCAATCCTCAAGGGTTTCTTTTAAACTAGTGTTTGAAAGGATGGGAAGCAATTCTAACTAATGACATGAGTATTCCTGAAGGCCACATTGTGAAACACATTTTGGTTTCTCCTCAGATCATTCACTGGCTGTAGAGTACATAGCTTGATTTAGAATCCCAGAGTCACCACCTACTAGCTATGGAAACTTGGACAAGTCTCTTTAGCTCTTAGTGGCTCAGTTTGTCATCTGAAAAATACAGAATGTTTCCTGATACATTGCTTTCCTGGCTTAAGTCAAGTTCAGACAGTACTACAAACACACTTAGTGATGGAGAAAAACAGAAGTTTACAGAACAGTTAGAATTTACTCATCATTTTGATAAAGCTGAATTGATTGGAACACTCTAAAATTATTTTAACACTCTGGTTTTAGGAGTGGTCATTGGTTTTGTTGTGGTTGCTTTTGTTTTAAGAAAAATCTATATTTAAAAATTTATGAAATATATTTTTCAGAACTGAAGCTAATGCTTGTAGACAGAGTTCTATGCTGCAACAAGTTTAAAATAACACTGTTACAATTATCGTGATTCCTCAAAGGTTTTATTTTTTAAATAGATGTACATATTATCTGAAGCACATGTGATAATTTAATACATTCATATAATTTGTAAAGATCAAATCAGTGTAATTGGGCTATTACCTTAAATATTTATCTTTTCTTTATACTAGAAACATTAAAATTATTCTCTTCTAGCTATTTTGAAATATACAATCAATTATTATTGTTAACTATAGTCATCCTACTAATCTATTACATGCTAGGGCTTATTCTTTCTATCTAACTGCACTTTTGTACCCACCAATCTTCTCTTTATTTTTATGAGATCCACTTTTTTAGCTCCCATATGTCACTGAGAAAATGCAATATTTGTCTCTCTGTGTATGGCTTATTTTAGTTAGTGTAATGACCTCCAGTTTTATCCACGTTACTGCAAATGACAGGATTTCATTCTTTTTTCAGCTGAATAATATTCCCTTGTATATATATATCACATTTTCTTTATCCATTCTTCCATTGATGGACACCTAGATTGATTCCATATTTTGGCAATTTTGAGTATTACCACAAAAAACATGGAAGTTTAGATATACCTTCAATATATTGATTTCCTTCCTTTTGGATATATACCCAGAAGTGGAGCTGTTGGATTATATAGTAGTTCTATTGTTAGTTTTTTGAGAACCTCCATACAGTTATCCATAATGGCTATACTAGTTTATATTTCCACCAACAGTGCATGAGGGTTCCTCTTTCTCCACTTCCTTGCCAGCATCTGTTACTTCCTATCTTTTTGATAAAAGCCATTTTAACTAGGGTGAGATGACATAGTTTTTTTAAAAAAAAATTAAATGTAATTATGTATGTTTTTCTAACTTATATTTTAAGTTCAGGGGTACATGTGCAGGATGTGCAGGTTTGTTACATTGGTAAACGTGTGTCATGGGGGTTTCTTGTATAAATTACTTCATCACCCAGGTATTAAGCCTAGTACCCATTAGTTATTTTTCCTGATTCTCTCCCTCATTCCACCCTTCACCCTCTGATAGGCCCCTGTGTGTTGTTCTCCTCTATATGACCATGTGTTTTCACCATTTAGCTCCCACTTATAAGTTAGAACTTGCAGTATTTGGTTTTCTGTTCCTGCATTGGTTTGCTAAGGCTAATGGCTGCCAGCTCCATCCATGTCACTGCAAAGGACATGATCTCATTCTTTTTTATGGCTGCATGGTGCTTATTGTCATTTTGATTTGTATTTCTCTGATGGTTGGTGATATTGAGCATTTTTTCATATGCCTGTTGGCCATTTGTATGTCTTCTTTTGAAAATTTTCTATTCACACCCTTTGCTAATTTTTTTAATTTTAGGTTTTTTTTTCTTTTTGCTATTGAGTTATTTGAGCTTCTTGTATATTCTGGTTATTAATTCCTTGTCAGAAGGATAGTTTGCAAATATTCTCCCATTCTGTGAGTTTTATCTTCCCTTTGTTGATTTGTTGTTGTTGTTTGCCATGCAGAAGCTTTTTAGCATGATATAATCCCACTTGTCTGTTTTGGCTTTTGTTGCCTGTGCTTTTTAGGTCTTGCACAAAAACTCTTTGTCCAGAACCATGTCTTGGAGAATTTCCCCCAATGTTTTCTTCTAGTAGTTTCATAGTTTCAGGCCTTAGATTTAAGTCTTTAATCCATTTTGATTTGATTTTTGTGTATGATGAGAGATTGGGGTCTAGTTTCCTTCTTCTGCATATATATGTCCAGTTTTCCCAGCACCATTTCTTGAAGACTGTCCCTTCCCCAGTGTATGCTCTTGGTGCCTTTGTCGAGAACATGTTGGCTGTAAATGTGTAGATTTATTTCTGGGTTCTCTATTATGTTCCATTGGTCTATATGTCTATTTTTATGCCAGTACTATGCAGATTTGGTTACTATAGCTTTGTAGTATATTTTGAAATCAGGTATTGTGATACCTCTGGCTTTGTACTTTTCAATCAGGATTGCTTTGGCTTTTTGGGGTGTTTTGTTCTTTGAGGTTTTTAATTAGTCAAAAACTCGATGACACTCTTAAGTTGGGATAGAGCATGCAGTATTTCTCTATGATCATGATTTGTGAAGGAATATCTCACAGGTTTAATGATCCAGAGAACCATTAATAGACTAATATAAACATATGCCTTAGGAAGGACATAGAACATAATTATTATTTAAACACCATATAATAGTGCTACGAAGTTCATTTGTTTATGGATTATCATCGTGAAGTCTGATTGCAGTGATTTTAGTAGGCTTTTATATAATTAATGTTTTATTTGACAGTAGAGTTTTAACATGAGTTATTTTTCAATGAATAGTTATCATAATTAGTAAAGTGGCTTTAGGTTTCAAAGTATCTTCACATGTGTTATGCTACTTTATACCAAAACAATCCTGTCATGTAGGTATTTTTATTTTCCCCTTTCAATGGGAGAGGAAATTGGGTTCAGAGAGGTTAAGTGACTTTTCCAAAGACATGGGGCCAATAAATGACAAAACTAAAGTATGAACTAGGTTTTCTGGCTCTAAATTCAACATCCCTCCTTCCACAGCTCACTTCCCTTTTCTTCTGAGCATTTTCTTTACTAATACTCATTATTGCTTTTCTGTCTACAGTGGAGCCAACCCCAAATGGCATGTTTAGCCATAAAATTATGATTTTAAAAATAAATTTCTATAAAGTAATCTTTTGCTTTGTCATAACTGCAGGAACCTCTGTAAGTCTTCTAATGATAGTAAAATGTTTTTATTTTGTATGAATTTGGATTTGATTTATGTTGAAACCTTAGTTCAAGAGAGGTGACTAATTGATCCTTATACTTGGGTGGTCTTTATATCCTACAATTGCTCCAATTCTGGGTATTTGCTTCCCTTATTCCTTGGTTGCCAGAATTAAACTCCACCTTCCTCTTATTTGCCTTCTGAAGAGATAGAGAATATTAATCTATTTTCTAATTTTCACAAGGCTAAATCTAAAATGAAACAAAACTTGCAAAGTTGTACAGAAACATTCAACTTTTCATCTTCAAATGCAGGTGTCATGAAAGGGGTCAGAATTAGGTGCTCATTTTCATTCCCCTCCAGTGTTTGGTTGTTCAATGCTGCAGTGTTGTTTCTATTATGTCTCATCATGTAATCAGTTGTTTGCATGGTTCCTCTTGATCCTGCAAGTCCTGTAGATGCTTTGTCAGAATATTTTTGCTGAATAAATCAGTGAATGGATGGATGGATAAATCAATTCAAGCTTTTCTACTTTTCAGAAGTTTTGCTGAGTAAATAATTTTATTAAAGGTGAGAATATAATTGTATCAAACAAAACATTTTTGATTGAAATACTACTATGAAAAACACTTTGCAATGTAGGGGTTCTAAAATTACAACCTAATTTGATGAGGGGCCTTACCTTACTTTGGTCTGGAAGAGAGAAACCTTCCTAACCTATGTGATACATTGGAGGATTTGAATCTGACTGGAGTCATCTTCTGTGCCTCTTCATGCAACAGCCACTGACCAGGAGCCATTCTGCCTCCTACTCCCCTTTGGGGACCAGTGCTCTTCCAGCCCCTTCTCTGATGAGACTTTCAGAAAGGTGAAAGGTCTGGACCTGGCCCTTGTCTCTCATTGCCGTCCTGCCTGATCAGCCCACAAAGGCAGGACTCTACATAATGACAAGTTCTGAAGAGTGAAACACATGTCAGGGGTATTCCAGAATAGAAAAGTAAACTTGAAATTCTGGCTAATTTGGCTTCATAAAGGAAGGCCCTGGCACAAACACCTTCTCAAGGAATTTGTGCCTCTCAGACACTGACCTACCTTGAGATGTCTCTCCCTCTGGGCTCGGCCTGCCCATAGGTAGACCCCTATTCAAGTCTGGTGACCCCATCTCCTCCCTTGGAAAACCAGGGGCTGTCCACATTTATTCATCCTCTGATACAACAGTTATTTATTGGGTACCTCCTAAAGGCTAGATGCTAGGAACAGAATAGTGAGCAAAACCAGGCACAATCCCCATCTTTGTGGAGTTTATAATTTGGTAGAAGCAAGTATTCTAATCAAAAAGTGACAGGAATAAACATAGGATGACAAAACTGCAGGGATGAAAAGATACACTGGGTCTGGGGAGAGACTTCACTGAGGAAATGACTCAAAGATGAATACGAGAAAATGTTTGTTTCTTAAAGACGATTGCAACTCAGCATATTTATATGCTGTAGGATGCCCAAGCCTGCAGTTGAAGCAGGTTATGAGCTGGTGCTCCTGAGATGGTGGGGGGAGGGGGATTCATCTCAGTGGAGCAGTTGCCTTAGGTAGCAAAACGGACACCTGACCTCCTCAGCTGTTCTCTACTCATTTTCTTCAGAGCCAGATAAGCTCTAGTCTCCAAAACGGGATAAATGTGGAACTAAAATTCCAATTCTGTCTCCCCACCATAGGCTGGTCTATGTGACTAGGTTTCCTGTGAATCCATATACCTCTCAAAGACATGCATTACTTTTCTAGAGATAGCCAGGGTTACTTTTATTATCCTGGCCCTTTCTTAATAGCTGAAAATCTCATCCACCCCCCAATGCAGTGCTTTTGTCTTTGCCCTGCCCTAGGTCAGCCACATGGCTCTAAACATCAGAGTACACTACTTGTCCGTGGTTGCTCCCTTTGCTATCTGGAAGAAATGATCCAGCTCGGTGGAATCTTTTTGATATCAGATCCTCCACTGATGAGCAAGATGGGGCATAAAGGAATTTGTTAATTCAACTTGCCACAAAGAGTTCAGAAAAAAAAAAGTCTGGCCCTTATAATAAACCAGACTGTGAACTGGAAAAACCTGGGTGAGTCAGAAGGAATGAGCCCCTGATACAAGGCCAGAGTACCTCCACTTTAAGGAGGATTTGGTACTTGATGTCAAGAGAGGTTCCTTTAACCCTTAGACACATGAACAAACAGAAAAGTGGGAAAGTCAATATGTAACTGAGATTTACACGCAGTCCTACATTTGTTCTTCAGTTTGTGTTGACATATTGCAGCATGTAGTATGTTAGGAAAGATGTGTTGCAAGATCCTGCAATATTTAATGTGTAAAGAACAAAGTCACACCTTAATTCTAGGTTCTGATTTTGCGTTTTTTAATGCAACCAGTTTTCATGCTACCAGTATAATTAGTATCATCAAGGGTAAATCTCACCAGACAAACTCAACCATCCCTTTTTAAAGGTATGAGCTAGTATATGAGTTTGTCTAGATGATCATGGCATTTGATATCCGAATATAAATTCCAAACATCCTCATCAAATAAGGTCTTCTGCTCATCAACCCATTATTCTGTTACCCTTGCTGTCAATTTAAAATTATCCCACCAGGGAGAGTCCCTACCCTTTACCGAAGCACAACCTTCTTTAGGTTGGCGATAAACAGAAGAGTAAGTTGGATGGAGGGTGACTTTGGCACACTGTCCAACCTTCTCCTTTAAGTGTCTTTCCTTTTCCTATTGTCCCTTGATGCCTGTCCACTGCTCTATTTCCTATTTCTTGCAGGGCAAAAATGTTAATTCTACCAAGTATGAAAGCAAATTCTCTACTCTTCCTCTGGGTGTGGTGTCTCAATCTCTAGATACTCCATCAAAATTTAATGTCCTCTCATTTTATCAGCAGCTTGTTCTTACTTAGATGTCAGCAGACTGAATATCTAGGGGAAGCAAGCATTTAGGCACTACCAAAACCAAAACCCACAGGGAGTTACCTCTTCTGCGTGCCTCCAGAGCAAGCCCTGCAAAGACCTATATTATGGGAAGCCTAGGAGATGTCCTGATATGAGACAGGCTCACCCTTTCCAGAGCTGACCTAGAAAAAATATGACCATTTGACATCTGTCTAATATGTCTTCAGCTTTCTCTTGCCCCATTGACAGATGGCATCCCAGGGTTCTTATGTTCTCATTCTTCTTTAATTCTCTATTAAAACCTGTTCAGAGAAAAAGGCCTGATAAGCCCACTGGATTAAGATGTGAGAATAAAGCTACTATCTTCTGCTTATTAAGCCACAATTTTTTGAACACTTACATGCTGGATAATGTTAAGATACAGAGACAAATTTGACGCTCTCTATTCTTAACAGTGTAGTCTGGTGGAGGGGCGTGTTATGTAAAAAGAAGAATTCTACATGAAAGTAATTGTGGGGATGGCAGGGAACAGTGCTAAGAAGTATGTACAAAGGAATGTAGAACTAAGTAGCCTCATGGTTCCAACTGAGACATTGTTGGAACATACCTAAACACCCTCCCAAAAACAACGTGGTTGTGTTTAACATCAATTATTACTATTCTTTGGTATTTGAAGGGTTCCTCTTTCCCAAGAATGTTTGCATATTAACAGAATAATAAAATAACCTTCAGGTCAAAGGGATGAATCTCAGGTACCAGGAAGGAATATGAATATCCTTTTAGTCTCTAATGGCTGACAGAGCAATCACAGGTTTGCATCACATTTATCTGCAGCATGGGGTAAAATAGAAACTCCCAGACTCCATTCTGGAGAAGATGGTTCGTAATAACGTTGGGCTGTGGCCCTTGAATCTATATTTTCATGGCATACCACAGGTCATTATAATGGGTAGCCAGATTTGTAAACCGCTGTTCTCTCTCTTGAAATGCATAAAATTAAACCAGGTCAAAAGGATGCCTATTTGGGAGGCAAGCTCTCACCACTTCCTAGGACCCTATCTTAATGTCAGGGAATGACTTGGGCCCAAAGAGCCTTGTGTTCTTTGTGCTTCAGCATCAATAAATGCTGTATGGCTCCTGCTTGCTCCTAAGACCAGGTCCATGCATTTCAGCAGCTGGCGCCAACTGGCCTGAAGCCTGCACCGGGTGAGTGTTTTGTAAAGTAGGCTCCCAGGATGGCACCTTGAATGAGAATGTAAAACATTACCTAGTCCCACTGCAGAGTTACTGAATTATAATTTCTGGGATGAACCCAGGGATCTACATTTTTAACAGGTTCCCCAAGAGGTTCCTGCTCCTGCTAAACTGGGACTATCTAGACCAAGCTCACCCACTGAGCAGACAGATTTGAGGAATGCATTGAGAGGGTGGCAGGTCCAGCAGGTCAAACACAGAACCCACAGATCTGGTAACAACCAGCCATAGTGTGGAGGAGGAGGAGGGCCAAGCAAGGGGAGTGAATCAAGGTCTTGACCTCTAGGCAGAATTAGGAAATTCTAGGCAGTAGTGTGGAGGGAGCGGAGAAGAGACCTGGGATAGGAAACTTAGGGGCACTTTGGTCATGGACTTCTCTTGTCATGGTCCTGGGAACTGGGGACAGGATACCAGTCCCTCCAAGGAAACTGGAGTCCAAGGCAGGTTCCAGAGGAAGAATTTAGATTAGACGAAACAAAGCAGAAACCTATTGTCAATTCTGGCTACCCAAGTGACTCAAGGAAGAGTCCCTGAATATAAGATTCCTCTGGCCTAAGGTGAAACTGATTCTGCAGGTGGAAAATAATATGGCAGCTATGAGTAAAGGGAGGCTAAAGGCTAGGTAGGGCAACACTTGACCACACTACATTGCCCTGGGAAAAAGGAGGATGGCCACGGCATCCTCCCTGCTGGAGGAAGAAATTCTTACACCTGAACTTGGGTGTAATCATTCTATAGTAAGATGTTCTCATAGTACCCCAGTCTTAATGAAGAAATAATTATAAAGAAAAGAGAATGCTGATTAGCTGCAAAAAAGCATTCAATTATATTTTCATTTATGAAAACCAGCTGTTTTATGTAGCCAGCAAAATTAATTTGTATAACTTTTGCTCATTTTAGTAACAAAAGAAAGTGAAATAAAAGAATGTAAAGGATAGTATGTAACCAAGAGATGTACACAAACTTTAGTTAAAACAGTTCCATGCTGGAGATGCTTTATAAAAACTGGCATTTTATCGGCAACTTGTTATGTGAATTGTAATAAGTAGCAATTTTTTAAAATGTGAAACTATGCAAAAGGATAAACTCATCCATTGTCTCTTTCTATATGCAAGGGACTATACCAAGTGTCGTAAAACATTAACTATTCATTCATCAATATTCAGTGCCTATCCATTCTAAGATACAAAGTTCCATTCCTACATAAGCTTAAATGTAATAGAGGATAATATAATGTGTGATGTGATATGGTATGATATTATATAACATAACCTAACATAATATAATTTTGTTATTTACATGCAATATATATAATCTCCTATCAAAGCAACACTAGGACCTGGTTCCTCTGTTTCAAAACACCCCTAGTTATTTCTAAGTGTATCCAGTGAGGGAACCTCTCACATGCCCATAGACCAGCTTGTCATCAGCAGTTGTCCCCTGATTCTCTTCCTATGTTCTGGCATCTATTTCACTCCAGCTGTTGATGGAGCCACTTAGAAAAGTTCAGAGAGGGACACCCTTGCCCACCCCCAAAGTGTGGTTGCGAAGAATTCCCAAGCTTCTGTCCCAAGGAGGCCCCCACCTGGATGGGCTTGGCAGTGGTGGGGAGAAAGGAATCCTGAGTTCCTTAGGACCCAGGGCAGGAACCAGAGGTCATGCCAGCCCCTGCATCTTCCTCTTCCTCCTTTTTGCTCTGCTCCTTCCTCCTCCTGCCATAAAAGCCTCTCCTACATGTTAATGGTAAGAAATTAGTCGAGCACAGAAGACAGAAAGGAGTTGGGGCCTGGCATTTCCTGCGTTAGCAGTATCCAAGCCCAAAGACTCCAATGTGAGTTTCTCAACTGCTGGACTCATGCCTGGGCTATGATTTAGTACTGGGGATAGCAATCTTTTTCTGTATACTTCTTTAGGACAGCTACCAAGGAGTATTGACTCTCAATCCTATGGTTTTGGAGGCAAATATTGCTTTTAGGCAAATATTATTTTAACTCTATGTGGAATAGGAAGAGAGGCCGGTAATTTGGAAGTATTTAGGATGCCAATATTTAATGAAGGAATATGACACCAGAAGATATTAACTGAATTTTTCTCTTCTGGTAAATTATCTGTTTGCATTGCTTTGGGAAACACACGCAAAAGTTGGCTATTAAGTTTTCTTTAAAAGACACCGGGAATGTGGCTTCCCATTACTATGTATTACCACCTCACCAATAAGTACAGTAGCTAGTGACTTAACTCTGACAAAACAATTAGTGCACTTTGGGGTCTGTGATCTGTTTAGCATTCTGTTTAGCATCAGGAGAGGCTGGAGGGAAAGACATTGGCAGACCTCAGGCTTCCACTTTAGGAAGCTGAGGCCCCCAGGCCTGGCCTCTCAGAGAGAAATTTGTTCTCCCCTTCCTCTTTCTGGGCCAGAAGGCTAAAGGATCTATTTAGATTTCAGAGCAGTGGAGGTGATACTGGGAGGGGTAGGGCAGAGGAGGGAAGATGGGAGCTTGCTCTGCTCCCTTGGCCTCACACTGGGTCGCTTTGGGGTTACAGTGGCTTTAGGTCATCTGAGACCCCAGTTCTTGGTTTTCTGCCATGATTAGGGACAAATCTTCATGGTCTAGGAACATTTACATTTCTCCACTCCCAGGAGCCCGCCCTTCTGCCCTGAAGATTAGGCACAGCCGTGCCCTGAAGTTAACAAAAAAGACAAAGATCCATGGCCACTAAAAATGGGAGATGTATATACAACATTTCTCTTACATTTAAAAAACAGGGAGCTCTTCAGGGGCTCCTGATAAAGAAAGTGCATAAGAATCACACAGTTCTCAGTATTTCCCCTCTCTCCCACTTTTCCACCCATCTCATGTAGGCACTAAAAAGAAATTTGAAAATTTGCTCCACTGATAACATATGTGCCTAAGTGCCTGGCCTTTGTGGTAAAAGATGCCTCAAAGATGCAGAGATGGAATTTCCAAGCTGCAATCACAAATCCCTATATAACTTCTTTCATGGAGACATTAATAACATACAATATATGCTTGGGAAAGAGGCAGAATCTGAAGAACTCCATTCCCTGTTTGCAAAATGAAAAGTTAAATTTTTCTATTTATTCAATGAACATTTCTTGAATATCTGAATTCTCTATGCCAGATGACATGATACACGCATGAGAACGGAGCTAATAGCCTTTGAGGATGACAGGCTCAAGTGGGTTTTCAAGGTGGTTAGTACAGTGACAGAGGTCAGCTAAGTAAAAAGTGTGTGTGCAGAGAGAGGACACTCCGCTCCACCTGGGGAAAAAGAGAGTGAGGAGGGATTTCCTGAGGAGGTAACGCCTAACCTGAGGCTTAAAGAATTATGAAAGAAGGGACCAAGACAGCATGATCTTGCGGATAGATGACAGTTGATGAAGAACGTTACATGCGGCTGGTCGGGTGTGGTGGCTGATGCCTATAATCCCAACATTTTGGGAGGTCAAGGTGGGGGTGGATCACTTGAGGTCAGGAGTTCGAGACCAACGTGGCCAACATGGTGAAATCCCATCTCTACCAAAAATATAAAAAATTAGCTGCGTGTAGTGGTGTGTGCTTGTAATTTCAGCTACTTGGGAGGCTGAGGGAGAAGAATCGCTTGAATCCAGGAGGTGGAGGGTGCAGTGAGCTGAGATCGTGCCACTGCACTCCAGCCTGGGCAACAGAGCGAGACTGTATCTCAAAAAAAAGTACATGCTCTTCACCTTGTTCTGATACTGCCCATGAGATGTGAACTCTACTGTTCCATTTTACAGGTAATTGAAGGCTCATACAGAAATTTCCACTGGGAAAGTTCCTTACTTCCTCTTTCAGAACATGGCTACTATGCCATTGATATTATTCCTTTAATATTATTTATCCCATTAATAATTCTAATTATTTAAATGATTTATACGTCTTATCCTCAATATATACTGTTACCTAAAATCAGTAACAAGGTTGTCTACTCTTGCCACTTTTATTCAATATTGTGCTAAAGGTTCTATCCTGGGCAATTAGGCAAGAAAATGAGGTAAAAAACATCCAGATTGAAAAGAAAGTAAAACTATCTCTATTTGAAGATGATGTAATCTAGTATAAAGAAAATCCAAAAGGATGCACAGCAAACTATTAGAACTAATAAATTGGTTCATCAAGGATTCAGGATAAAAGATCAATTTGTAAAATCAATTTTATTTCTATACAATTGTAATGAACAATCTGAAAATAAAATTAAGAAAATGATTGTATTTATAGTAGCATCAAAAAGGATAAAATGCTTAGGAATACATTTAATAAAAGAAGTGTAAAGTTTATAGTCTGAAAACTGCAATACATTGTTGAAAGAAATTTAGAAAAATTTTACAAATAGAAAGACATTGTAGTCTTTTATCCCACACTGAGTGATAGGTGCACCAAAATCTCAGAAATCACCACTAAAGAACTTATCCGTGTAACCAAAAATCAACTGTACTCCAACAACTACTGAAATAAAAATAAATAATTAAAATAATGGAAAAACACCTCATGTTACTGGAATAGAAGACCCAACATTGTTAAGATGGCAGCAATACTCCCTAAATTGATACACAGATTCCATGCAATGCCTATCAAAATTCCTACTGTGTTCTTTGCAGAAACGGACAAGCTGACTCTAAAATTCATATGGAAATTAAAGAGGTCACAATAGTCTTGAAGAATAAACTTACAGAGCTCACACCTTCAATTAGTCAAGACAATATGGTGCTACAGCTATAAATGAAAATATATGCCATCAATGGAACAGATTGATGGCATAGATTCCATTGATGGCATACATCTACTTTTATAGAAGGAAAAGAATCTAACTTTTCTATTTTTTTTAATCTTCTTACCTCCAAACCTTTGGCAACCACCATTCTGCTCCATGCTTCTATGGATTCAACTTTTTGGATTCCATATATTGGTGAGATCATGCAATGTGTCTTTCTGTCCCTGGCTTATGCCAGTTGGCATAATGTCCTCCAGGTTCATCCATGTTGTTGCAGATAGCAGGATTCTCTTCTTTTTCAAGGCTGAATACTATTCCATTGTGTATATATTCCATGTTTTCTTTATCCACTCACCTGTTGATGAACACTTAAGTTTATTGCATATCTTGACTATTGTGAGTACTGCCTCAATGAACATGGGAGTGCAGAAATCTTTTCAACATACTGACTTCATTTCCTTTGGCTCTATACGCAGACATGGGATTGCTGGATCGAATAGTAGTTCTATTTCATAATTTTTTGAAGAAACTTCATACTGTTTACCACAATGGCTATATGAATTTACATTCCCGTCAACAGTGTACAAAGCTTTCTTTTTCTTTACATCCTCACCTTAACACTTGCTATCTAATTGTCTTTTTGATAATAGCCATTCTAACAGGTATGAGGCACTATCTCATTGTGGTTTTAATTTGTACTTCACATATGATTAGGGATATTGAGCATTTTTTCATATACTTCTTGGCCTTTTGTATGTCTTCTCTTGACAAATATTTATTTAGGTCCTTTGGCCACTTTTAAATCAGATTATTTGTTTTCTTGCTATTGAGTTATTTGAGTTCTTATATACTTTTGATACTAAATTTCTTATCAGATATATGCTTTGCAAATGTTTTCTATGTTCTGTCATATGTTATCTCTTTATTCTGTTGATTGTTACGATTGCTATGCAGCAGTTTTAGTTTGATGCAATCTAATTTTTCTATTTTTGCTTTTGTTGTTTATGCTTTTGGGGTCATGTCCAAAAATAATTGCCCTGACCAATGTCAAGAAGCTTTTTCCCTATGTTGCATCTAGCAGTTTTACAGTCTCAGGCCTTACATTTAAGCCTTTGATCTATTTTGAGTTAATTTTTATATGGTATAAGAAAAGAGTCTAATTCCATTCTTCTGCATGTGGATATCCAGTTTTCCCAAAATTATTTATTGAAACAGACTTATTTCCCTGTTGTGTGTTCTTGCCAACTTTGTCAAAGATCTGTGAACCCTGAAAATCTGAGACAGGTCTCACTTGATTTAGAAAGTTTATTTTGCCAAAGTCAAGGATGCACACCCATGACACAGCCTCAGGAAGTCCTGATGACATGTGACCAAGGTGGTTAGAGTGCAGTTTGATTTTATACATATTAGAGAGACATGAGACATCAATCAACATATGTAAGATGAAAATTGGTTCAGTCTGGAAAGGCAGGACAACTCAAGGAGGGAGGGGGCTTCCAGGTCATAGGTAGATATGAGAAAAAGCGTTGTATTCTTTTGAGTTTCTGATGAGCCTTTCCAAAGGAGGCAATCACATGTGCATTTATCTCAGTGAGTACAGGGGTTACACTGAATAGAATGGGAGGCAGGTTTGCCCTAAACAGTTCCCAGCTTGAATTTTCCTTCTAACTTAGCGATTTGGGGTGCCCAAGATATTTTCCTTTCACATTTACCGCCTTTTCTTTTTGAAAATCTTTTGGAGAAAGGATTTTAGAAGAAAATGAGTCTCTGGTCTCAGGTTTCATTTGATCTGTGATGGCTAAGATGGTTTATCCCTAGGCATGTAGGTCTGGAGTTATTAGGAAAGTTCATTTTTAGAAAGTTGTGAAGTTTCCTGTCCTATGAAGAGGAAATAAGGGGAAGAAGGAAGAAAAACAACAAACAAAAGAACAATACTGGAAAATTAATATAGGCCACATTACTCTGAAGTCCATACATCAGTAGGTGGGTATGAAAGTGGCATACGGCCTGGCTCAGAGGGTCCTACGCCCACGGAGCCTCGCTCATTCCTAGCACAGCAGTCTGAGATCAAACTGCAAGGCGGCAGCGAGGCTGGGGGAGGGGCGCCCAGCATTGCTGAGGCTTGAGTAGGTAAACAAAGCGGCCAGGAAGCTCCAACTAGGTGGAGCCCACCTCAGCTCAAGGAGGTCTGCCTGCTCTGTAGACTCCACCTCTGGGGGTAGGTAATAGCCAAACAAAAGGCAGCAGAATCCTCTTCAGACTTAAATGTCCCTGTCTGACAGCTTTGAAGAGAGTAGTGGTTCTCCCAGCACGCAGCTGGAGATCTGAGAATGGACAGATTGCCTCCTCAAGTGGGTCCTTGACCCCGAGTAGCCTAACTGGGAGGCACCCCCCAGTAGGGGCAGACTGACATCTCATACGGCTGGGTACTCCTCTAAGACAAAATTCCAGAGGAACGATCAGGCAGCAACATTTGCTGCTCACCAATATCCGCTGTTCTGCAGCCTCTGCTGCTGATACCCAGGCAAACAGGGTCTGGAGTGGACCTCCAGCAAACTCCAACAGACCTGCAGCTGAGGGTCCTGACTGTTAGAAGGAAAACTACCAAACAGAAAGGACATCCACACCAAAAACCCATCTGTACGTCACCATCATCAAAGACCAAAGGTAGATAAAACCACAAAGATGGGGGAAAAAAAGATTAGAAAAACTGGAAACTCTAAAAAGCAGAGTGCCTCTCCTCCTCCAAAGGAACGCAGCTCCTCACCAGCAATGGAACAAAGCTGGATGGAGAATGACTTTGACGAGTTGAGAGAAGGCTTCAGACGATCAAACTACTCTGAGCTAAAGGAGGAAGTTCGAACCCATAACAAAGAAGTTAAAACCTTGAAAAAAAATTAGTCAAATGGCTAACTAGAATAACCAGTGCAGAGAAGTTCTTAAAGGACCTGATGGAGCTGAAAACCAAGGCACGAGAACTACGTGACAAATGCACAAGCCTCAGTAGCTGATTCGATCAACTGGAAGAAAGGGTATCAGGGATGGAAGATCAAATGAATGAAATGAAGTGAGAAGAGAAGTTTAGAGAAAAAAGAATAAAAAGAAATGAACAAAGCCTCCAAGAAATATGGGACTATGTGAAAAGACCAAATCTACGTTTGATTGGTGTACCTGCAAGTGACGAGGAGAATGGAACCAAGTTGGAAAACACTCTGCAGGATATTATCCAGGAGAACTTCCCTAATCTAGCAAGGCAGGCCAAAATTCAAATTCAGGAAAAACACAGAATGCCACAAAGATACTCCTCAAGAAGAGCAACTCCAAGACACATAATTGTCAGATTCACCAAAGTTGAAATGAAGGAAAAAATGGTAAGGGCAGCCAGAGTGAAAGGTCGGGTTACCCACAAAGGGAGGCCCATCAGACTAACAGTGGATCTCTCCACAGAAACTCTACAAGCCAGAAGAGAGTGGGGTCCAATATTCAACAGGCTTAAAGAAAAGAATTTTCAACCCAGAATTTCATATCCACCCAAACTAAGCTTCATAAGTGAAGGAGAAATAAAATACTTTACAGACAAACAAATGCTGAGAAATTTTGTCACCACCAGGCCTGCCCTAAAAGAGCTCCTGAAGGAAGCACTAAGCATGGAAAGGAACAACCGTTACCAGCCACTGCAAAAACTTGCCAAATTGTAAAGACCATTAAGGATAGGAAGAAACTGCATCAACTAACAAGCAAAATAACCAGCTAACATCACAATGACAGGATCAAATTCACACATACCAATATTAACCTTAAAAGTAAATGGGCTAAATGCTCCAATTAAAAGACACAGACTGGCAAATTGGATAAAGAGGCAAGACCCATCAGTGTGCTGTATTCAGGAAACCAATCTCATGTGCAGAGACACACATAGGCTCAAAATAAAGGGATGGAGGAAGATCTACCAAGCAAATGGGAAACAAAAAAAGGCAGGAGTTGCAATCCTAGTCTCTGATAAAACACACTTTAAACTAACATAGATCAAAAGAGACAAAGAAGGCCATTACATAATGGTAAAGGGATCAATTCAACAAGAAGAGCTAACTATCCTAAATATATATGCACCCAATATAGGAGCACCCAGATTCGTAAAGCAAGTCTTTAGAGACCTAGAAAGAGACTTAGACTCCCACACAATACTAATGGGAGACTTTAACACCCCACTGTCAACATTACACAGATCAATGAGACAGAAGGTTAACAAGGATATCCAGGAATTGAACTCAGCTCTGCACCAAGTGGACCTAATAGACATCTACAGAACTCTCCACCCCAAATCAACAGAATATACATTCTTTTCAGCACCACACCACACTTATTCCAAAATTGACCACATAGTTGGAAGTAAAGCACTCCTCAGCAAATGTAAAAGAACAGAAATTATAAGAAACTGTCTCTCAGACAACAGTGCAATAAAACTAGAGCTCAGGATTAAGAAACTCACTCAAAACTGCTCAACTACATGGAAACTGAACAATCTGCTCCTGAATGACTACTGGCGACATAACGAAATGAAGGCAGGAATAAAGATGTTCTCTGAAACCAATGAGAACAAAGACACAACATACCAGAATCTCTGGGACACATTCAAAGCAGTGTGTAGAGGGAAATTTATAGCACTAAATGCCCACAAGAGAAAGCAGGAAAGATCTAAAATTGACACCCTAACATCACAATTAAAAGAACTAGAGAAACAAGAGCAAACAAATTCAAAAGCTAGCAGAAGGCAAGAAATAACTAAGATCAGAGCAGAACTGAAGGAAATAGAGACACAAAAAACCCTTCAAAAAATCAATGAATCCAGGAGCTGGTTTTTCAAAAAGATCAACAAAGTTGATAGACCACTAGCAAGATTAATAAAGAAGAAAAGAGAGAAGAATCAAATACATACAATAAAAAATGATAAAGGGGATATCACCACTGATCCCACAGAGATAAAAACTACCATCAGAGAATACTATAAACACCTCTATGCAAATAAACTAGAAAATATAGAAGAAATGGATAAATTCCTCGACACATACACCCTCCCAAGACTAAACCAGGAAGAAGTTGAATCTCTGAATAGATCAATAACAGGCTCTGAAATTGAGGCAATAATTAATAGCTTATCAACCAAAAAAAGTCCAGGACCAGATGGATTCACAGCTGAATTCTACCAGAGGTACAAAGAGGAGCTGGTACCATTCCTTCTGAAACTATTCCAATCAATAGAAAAAGAGGGAATCCTCCCTAACTCATTTTATGAGGCCAGTATCATCCTGATACCAAAGCCTGGCAGAGACACAACAAAAAAAAGAGAATTTTAGACCAATATCCCTGATGAACATCGATGCAAAAGTCCTACATAAAATACTGGCAAACTGAATCGAGCAGCACATCAAAAAGCTTATCCACCATGATCAAGTGGGCTTCATCCCTGGGATGCAAGGCTTGTTCAACATATGAAAATCAATAAACGTAATCCAGCATATAAACAGAACCAAAGACAAAAACCATATGCTTATCTCAATAGATGCAGAAAAAGCCTTTGACAAAATTCAACAATGCTTCATGCTAAAAACTCTCAATAAATTAGGTATTGATGGGACATATCTCAAAATAATAAGAGCTATCTATGACAAACCCACAGCCCATATCCTACTGAATGGGCAAAAACTGGAAGCATTCCCTTTGAAAACTGGCACAAGACAGGGATGCCCTCTCTCACCACTTCTATTCAACATAGTGTTGGAAGTTCTGGCCAGGGCAATCAGGCAGGAGAAGGAAATAAAGGGCATTCAATTAGGAAAAGAGGAATTCAAATTGTCCCTGTTTGCAGATGACATGATTGTGTATCTACAAAACCCCGTCGTCTCAGCCCAAAATCTCCTTAAGCTGATAAGCAACTTCAGCAGAGTCTCAGGATACAAAATCAATGTGCAAAAATCACAAGCATTCTTATGCACGAATAACAGACAAACAGAGAGCCAAATCATGAGTGAACTCCCATTCACAATTCTTCAAAGAGAATAAAATACCTAGGAATCCAACTTACAAGGGATGTGAAGGAGCTCTTCAAGGAGAACTACAAACCACTGCTCAATGAAATAAAAGAGGATACAAACAAATGGAAGAACATTCCATGCTCATGGGTAGGAAGAATCAATATCATGAAAATGGCCATACTGCCCAAGGTAATTTATAGATTCAGTGCCATCCCCATCAAGCTACCAACGACTTTCTTCACAGAATTGGAAAAAACTACTTTAAAGTTCATATGGAACCAGAAAAGAGCCTGCATTGCTAAGTCAATCCTAAGCCAAAAGAACAAAGCTGGAGGCATCATGCTACCTGACTTCAAACTATACTACAAGGCTACAGTAACCAAAGCAGCATGGTACTGGTATGAAAACAGGGATATATACCAATGGAACAGAACAGATTCCTCAGAAATAATGCTGCATATCTACAACCATCTGATCTTTGACAAACCTGGCAAAAACAAGAAATGGGGAAAGGATTCCCTATTTAATAAATGGTGCTGGGAAAACTGGCTAGCCATATGTAGAAAGCTGAAACTGGATCCCTTCCTTACACCTTATACAAAAATTAATTCAAGATGGATTAAAGACTTACATGTTAGACCTAAAACCATAAAAACCCTAGAAGAAAACCTAGGCAATACCATTCAGGACATAGGCATGGGCAAGGACTTCATGTCTATAACACCAAAAGCAATGGCAACAAAAGACAAAATTGACAAATAGGATCTAATTAAACTAAAGAGCTTCTGCACAGCAAAAGAAACTACCATCAGAGTGAACAGGCATCCTACAGAATGGGAGAACATTTTTGCAATCTACTCATCTGACAAAGGGCTAATATAAAGAATCTACAATGAACTCAAACAAATTTACAAGAAAAAAGCAAACAACCCCATCAAAAAGTGGGCGAAGGACATGAACAGACACTTCTCAAAAGAAGACATTTATCAGCGAACAGACACATGAAAAAATCCTCGTCATCACTGGGCATCAGAGAAATGCAAATCAAAACCACAATGAGATACCATCTCACACCAGTTAGAATGGCAATCATCAAAAAGTCAGGAAACAACAGGTGCTGGAGAGGA